>NC_000001.11:208942162-209093677 GCF_000001405.40 Homo sapiens | reverse complement strand
ACACAATCATGACATAGACCATTTTCACATACCCAAAAGTTCCCACCTACATCACAATTTGTTTATACATTCACCAGTTGATGAACATTTGGATTGTTTTCAGTTTTTGACTGAAAGGAAAAAAGAAAAAGTTATCCTCTGACATTTGAAAGCTGGCCTGAGGCTTACAGCTAGGTTGAATTATTTTCCTATTGGATGCAAACAATCTCACAAAATCTAAACTCAGATATGGTTACTCTGAGACCATGATAAAACAAAGCAAAAACAAACCCACTTCATAAGCCCACCTCATAATTTTGTCTAAGCACAAACAGAAACAATGTCATTGTGCCATCCACAAAATACTAAACATCCCCTCTTGGCTAAAATGAATAACTCCTACATCTTTACTAATTGCAGCTGCATGCTCCCTTAGATAAGATTTATTGAATTACCCAATCATAGAATTTCCTTCTCTTTCTGAGATCCCCAATCTAGAGTCAACTCCTACTTCCTTAGCCTGCCCAACAAATCATCCAAGCAAACTCCAAATCCTGCAATAGCTTCTTCTTTCTAATGCCCTCTTACTGAGACACCCAAGGTTCCCCATGGTATCTGCTCTCCCTCACTGCAATGAGTAATAAACTCAGCTTGTTTAGCTCTAGGTATGTTACTGGGGACTTTTGGCTGAAGAGCTGTTACTTAAAACATTCATGAGAAGTCTTTGTGTGTACATACATGTTTTCCTTTCTTTTGGGTGAATCTCAAAGTGGAATGGTTTTGTTGTGTTAAAAAGCATACGCTTAAATTTATAGGAAACTACCAAATTGTTTCCCCAAGTGACCGCAACATTTTGTGTTCCTATCAGCAATGTATGAGCGTTTCAGTTGCTCCACACCCTCACCAGCGCTCTGTGTTTTCAGTCTTTTAAATTTGGCCACTCTAGTGGGTATATTCTGATAGCTCATTGTGGTTTTAATTTTCATTTTCCTCTTCACTAGTTATATTGAACAACTTATAATATGCTTATATGTACTCTATACCTTATGTGGTGAAATAATTTCAAATATTTTGCCCATTTTAAAACTGGGTTGTCTTCTGTTATCTTCTAATAACCATTAAAAATTTTAAAATATATTTTAGATTCACCTCTTTTATCAATTTTTTTTTTTTTTTGCAAATATTCCTGCTCCTCTGCAGTTTACCTTTATATTTTCTTAAAATTTTCTTTGGAAGAGCAAAAGCTTGAAAAGTAAACTTTTAAAATTTGGATATCTAATTTATCAATTTTTAAATTTTGTGGTTTGGCCTTTTTTGTGTCCTAGGATACCTTTCTTACCCTAAGGACACAGAGATTTTCTCCCATATTTTTTTCTAGAAATTTTCAAAATGCTGTAGGTACTTCATACCTACAGCATATTTTACTTTATTCTGACTACAACTCAATAGCTTCATGTGGCCAGGCCAGTCGCTACCATATTTGACAGTTCAATCCCTGAGGCATATTAATCATACTGACCTTTTCAAAGGGTCCGCTTATGATTCTTGAATTTTTCTCTGCTGAAGTTCTGTTTTCAACCTAACTTATTTCCGTTCTCATCTTTTTTAGTTTTACTCTTCTGATATTTTGGCTTCAATGTTTTCTTCTTTGTCTGGTTTCTTAAGACAGAAACTTAGACAATAGATTTAAGGCTTCTTTCTTTTCTATAAAGTTCTACCCACAAATACATTGTGATATATTCACTTTCATTTTCATACATTCAAAGATATATTCTGATTTTCTCTTTAATTTCTTCTTTTACTCGTGTTATTTAGAACTGTATTTTTTGTTTTAAAATATTTTGGCTCTTTCTAGCTAGCTCTTTGCTGTTCGTTTCCATTTTTATTCTGCAATAGTCAGAGAACACAAGCTTTTAATTTTCTCAAAATATTTGATAAATGTTTCAAAATATGGTCTATCTGGTGAATGTTTTTACATGTCTGCATAAAAAATGGGTACTATACTGCTGTTGGGTAGAGTATTCTATAGATGTTAATTGGTCATGTTTGTGGATGTTATTGTTCATCTCTTCTATATGCCTAAATTTGTGTGTGTGTGTGTGTGTAACTAGATAGCTTATTAATTACTGAGAGAAGAGTGTTGAAGTCTCTAACAATAATTGTGGATTTCTGTAGTTCTTCTTTTAGTTCTACCAGTTTTTGCATGCTGTGTTTTGAAGTTCTGTTGTTATGTGCATACATTTAGAAAAATTATGTCCTTATGATAAATTGACTCTGTTATAACTATAACCTATTCTTCCATTTTCCTGGTTAAAATTCTGGTTCTGAAGTCTGTATGTCTGTACTAATGTAGTAATTTAAACTTTCTTTTCACTAGTGTTTGTATAGGATGTCTTTCACCCTTTAACTTTTGACCTACAAAAGTTTCTATATACAGGATAGGTTTCTTATAGATAGCATATAATTGGGTCTTGCTTTTTTATACATTCTCACGAGTTCTTCCTGTTGACTAAAAAGTTTGACTCATTTAAATTTAATGTAATTATCAGTATAGTTGGGTTAAATCTACCACTTTGCTATTTTCTATTTGTCATATCTGTTCTTTGTTCTTATTTCTTTCTTTTTCTGTCTTCTTTTGGGTTAATTAAATTTTAAAAATAGTTTCGTTCTATGTCCACTATGAATTTATTACTCACAGTTCTTTGTTTTATAATTTTAGTGATTGCTCTAGAGTTGCAATATACAGTTTTAACTCATCACATTATACTTTTAAGTAAATAACTTTATGTGTAGTGTAAGAACCTAACAGTGTTATAGTTCCCTCACCTCTCCTGTCTTCTCTGCAATTTTTGTCATTTATTTTACTTTTACTTATGATACAATCATACATTATGTTGTTACTATATTTGCTTTAGTTTGTCAACTATTTAAAAGATTGTAAAATGAAATAAAATGTTATTTATATTTAATTCCATATTTACCACATACTGGTGCTATTCATTCCTTTCAGTAGATTAAATCTAATATAATTTTCTTTCTTCTTGAAAACCCTCTTTTAGCATTTCTTATAGTTCAGGTAGCTGGCAATAAATTATGTCATCTTTTGTTTGTCTGTTTTGTTTATTTCACCTTCATTCATTACTTACATTTTTCCTGGATATAGAATTCTAGGTCGATAGTTTGTTTCTTTCAATACTTAAAACATAATGTTCTATTATCTTCTATGTGTATGGTTTCTGATGGTGAGTCTGCTGTAACTCTTACCTTTGTTACTTTTTATGCAGTGCATCTTTTTTCCTCTCCAGCTTCTTTTAAGGTTTCCTTTTTTTTCTTCTTTTTTTGTTTTTTGAGACAGAGTCTCACTCTGTCACCCAGGCTGGAGTGCAGTGACGCGATCTCAGCTCACTGCAAGCTCCGCCTCCTGGGTTCATGCCATTCTCCTGCCTCAGCCTCCCAAGTAGCTGGGACTACAGGCGCCCACCACCAAGCCCAGCTAATTTTTTTTGCATTTTTAGTAGAGACAGAGTTTCACCATGTTAGCCAGGATGATCTTGATCTCCTGACTTCCTGATCCACCCGCCTCGGCCTCCCAAAGTGCTGGGATTACAGGCATGAGCCACTGCACCCGGCCCTTTTAAGGTTTTCTTATCACTGTTTCTCTGAAATTTCATCATGATGCACCTTGGTATGCTTTTCTTTACATTTTTCTGCTTGAGTTTCTTTGAGCTTGTTGTGTTTATGTGTTGATATTTTTCTTCAAATTTGGAAAATTTTGACCATTATTTCTTTAAGCATTTTGTCTATCCCTCTCCTTATCCATCCTGGACTGCTATTATACACACTGACATTGTTCTACAAACAGATGCTCTGTTCTCTTCTTTTAAAGTTTTTTCCTTTCCTCCTTCATTTGGACAGATTATATTGCTATATCTTCAAATTTACTAATCTTTTCTTCTCCTCTGTTTGATCTGCTGTGAACTCCACCCAATGTCTTTTTCATTGCAGATATTGTATTTTTCATCTCTATATAATTAAGTGCTACTCAACAATTTAAAAAATAAACTTTTATTATGTGCAATAATGTGTGTAAATATCACAAGCACTATGCTGAGTGGAAGAAACCAGACACAAAAGTTGTTATACTGTTTGATTCCATTTATATGAAATCCTAGAAAACACAAAATAATATAGGCAGAGAGTTGATCACTTGATGGACACTGGGAGCAGATGCCAGTATTGACTGCAAAAGGGCATGAGGGAACTTTTGGGTGTATAAAAATTGTCTGTGTCATGATTGTGATAGTAGTAATGACTGTAATATTTGTCAAACCTGATTAAGTTGTATTCTTAAAGTTGGAGTAAGAACGGTTCAGTTCTTTGAAATTCTCTAGTTTATCTCCTTTCTCTACAGTTAAGTAAAAATATTTTCTTTCCTTCTCTCTTCTTTTCTTTACTTTTTTGGATTAGTTAACATAACCCAAATAGACAAAAGTTTTCTAACTTCTACATCTGCATCTCCAGAAGTTCTGTTTGGACACACACATACACACACACACACATACACACACACACATACACACACAGAAAGTTCGTTTCTCTTCTCATTATGCTTATGTCTTTTTTTTTTCTTTTTTACTTTTTGAGCTTATGAAGCATTTTTATGATAACTATCTTAACATCTTTATTGGCTAATTCTATCACCTGTCATTTCTGGGTCTGCTTTAATTAATTAGGTTTTCTCCTGGTTGCGGTTCATATTTTTCTACTTCATTGCACATTTTTGATTGAATGCAGATATTATGTATTCTTTACGTTGGATTGTTGGATTTTGTTATATTATTTTAAAGAGCATCACACTTTATTTTGGCTTGTACTTAAGTTACTTCAGATTAGCTTGATTTTTATAAGGTTTGCTCTTTAACTTTCTAGGCCAGGTTTAGAGCAGACTTTTGTATAGTGCTAATTTAGTTCCACTACTAAGGCAATTTTACTCAAGGAATTTATACAGCATCTCACATATTAGAAGTCTTTCCATTCTGACTGATGCAAGAATAAATTGTTCTCATCCCCATTTGATCTCCAGATAGTGTTCTGCCTTCTATTTTTTGGTGATTCTTTTTCCAGCTTCAGGTTATTTTCTTACATGCATACTCATAGCAGGTCTCAGCCAAAGACTTCAGGGACCCTTTCTTCAGAGCTCTGCAGCTCTGTAAATATCTCCTCTACTATCTCCTTCTTCCAACTTCTAGCTACCTTGGTCTCCTTTAATTTCAGTCTCCATCTCTTCAACTCAGCAAGAACATCAAACCCTTGTTGGTTTCACTTTCCCTGAAAAGCAGCCTAGAAATTGCTTTCAGATTGTAATATTCTACAATTATAGGAGGCACTTCATTTATTTATTGTTTTCTCTGAGAACTCACAATCCTGTGGAACCTGTGCTCAATGATTGAAAATCTTTTTGTTTTTTTTTTGTTGTTGTTGTTGTTGAGACGGAGTTTCACTCTTGTTGCCCAGGCTGGAGTGCAATGGTGTGATCTTGGCTCACTGCAACCTCCGCCTCCCAGGTTCAAGCGATTCTCTTGCCTCAGCCTCCCAAGTAGCTGGGATTACAGGCATGTGCCACCACACCTGGCTAATTTTGTTTTTTTAGTAGAGATGGGGTTTCTCCATGTTGGTCAAACTGGTCTCAAACTCCCAACCTCAGGTGATCTGCCCTCCTTGGCCTCCCAAAGTGCTGGGATTACAGGCATGAGCCACCACGCCCGGCCTGAAAATCTGTGTGTGTGTGTGTACGTGTGTGTGTGTATGTGTGTGTGTGTGTGTGTGTGTGTGTGTGTGTGTATTTAGTCTGGTTTTGTTGTTATAATTATTTTGTTTAAGGCAGGAAGACAAATCTAATTTTGGTTTTTCCATTATAGTCAGAAGCAGAAGTCCTTGGTAAACATTTTTTTTTCCTTTTCACATCAGGAGGTTCTTCTTGTTTCTATGCCATCAGTGGTATGGAGGGGCACTAAGTTGAGTAAAATAATCATACTAAGTGATTAGTAATTTATGTTCCCCTCTTCATAAGATTTTTATTTTTAAAAGAAGAGTTTGTTAACCCCAAAGAGTTGAACTTGAATGTATATGCCTTTAGCAAATATGGGTTGAACAAGGAGAATCTGTTCCATGAATAATCAGGGTTAGGAAAATGCAATGGGAAATATTCTGGCTTATTTGGCTTTCTCAATTCAACTACTGAATAAATTTAATCAATAGTGTAAGATCAGATTTAATTTCTGCAACTCCTAAAAATCCAGACCACATTTATTCATTGTCTTTGTTGAGAACAATCAACAGTTAAATACTTAGAAAACATTTACGACATCTAAGTTTACACTATTATAGTGAGAAATATTTTCCTGTTTTGCGGAGGGGCAAATGAAAGCCTGAAAATTCTTAGTCCAAATAATTGATAATACAAACAGAAAATCAGGACCCTTATTCCTGGACTGCTTTTGTTGGCCTCAGAGCCCCTCCTTGTTGATGCTATCAGCTGCGCAGTGAGCACTCCCTCTCCTTTGGATGAGAAAGCGGGCACTGGTGGAGCTGAGTTGCAAAATGCAGCCAGTCCCTGGAGCATTTACAACTTCTCAGAATGTAGTCACCTTGTCTTCCTCACTTGAGATTAATAAACCACAAGCAAACTTCTGCTCAGTCCTCCTATGCAGCTGCTTGCTTTTGGGACGTCTTGCTCACTAGCTTTTTTAGCAGTGTTTCAGCAGGCTGTGCAGCCAAGCAGAAATATCACACTCTTTGTGAAAACCTGAGGTCAGCACAATTTCTTCCCAGGGAAATTGTAACCTTTCGTGCTGAGATTGGGATGTCTGGGTTAGAGAAAATGAGTGAAAAACCAGTTTCAGGGGTCCCCAAAGCCCTTATCGCTTTCCAGAGTACCAGAGCTAAGATCACAAGTTCATTCTTGGCACAAGGGCAGCCTCCCATCTCTCAAGGCTGCTAAGAGAATGTGGGGCTTTTTGCAAGTTCTCCATATCGCCAGGAACACTTACATCTAAGTGACTTGTGGGTTTGGGTTCCCTGATGTCTTGCACTTGCCTCTGTGCTTTTCTATGTGCTCATCATTCTGTGTGGCATGGCCTGCCTTCTTTGGACTAATTATCCTCCATCTTCAAAGACTCAACTCTTAAAAGAGGCCTTTCATCAACTTTATGTTTTACATACACTTCTCTTTCGCCAACAGCTCTAGGTAAGGGAACTTCCTTGCTCTCAAATCCTCTTTGCATACATCCAACCTGGAAAGCGAGAGACATAGGACCTGTATTATAGTCTTCTGTTTACATATCTGTGTCTCTCATTGGTCCACAAGAGCAAGGACCATATTTTATTAATCAATATGTCTTGAGGTCTTAGGGTTTAGTTTGAAAACTTTTGAGTCTGAGACACCTGGATTCATATCCATTCCATCTTTTACTATGCTCATAAACTTCATTTCCTCATCTATAAAATAAAGATAGATGGTGGCTCATGCTTATAATCCCAGCACTCTGGGAGACCAAGTCTGGAGGTTTGCTAGAGCCCAGGAATTGGAGAGCAGCCTGGGCAACACAGAGAGATCCCATCTCCAAAAAATTTAAAACATTAGCTAGGTGTGGTGGAATATGTGTGGTAGAATAGCTAGGTGGTGGTCCTAGCTACTTAGAAGGCTGAGGTGGAAGGATCACCTGAGCCCAGGAGATCAAGGATGCAGTGAGCCTTGATTGCACCACTGTACTCCAGCCTTAGCGACAGAGTGAGACACTGTCTCTTAAAAAAAAAAAGATAACAATGCATTGAAGATTAATGTAATTTTAAAAATATGTGTAAGTTCCTTGGGAAAAAAGATTTTACAAAAGAGCTCTACTTAGGTTGAGGTGATTGTAAGACAGAGAAAGATGTTGACAGTAAAGCAGCCAATCTTTTGGTGACATGGGCACAGGTGTTGGTGGGATGTTATTGGCTCATTCTAAGTATGTAGGTTTGCTAGGTCTAATGCAGTGCAAGCTAGCTGTGCAGCAAACTTCTTGTCAGTCTGAGGCCACTTCTCCCATGCGATCTCCAAACCTACACCCTTCAGTGCATGACCCTGAGTATTAACCTGGTATTACCAGGTTTTGTAGACAGACATGATGTCAAAATAAGGATCTAGGGAAATGGCCATATATATATATATATATATATATATATATATATATATGATTTTACAAAAGATTTAAAGATTGTATAAGATATACAAAAGATATATTTTTTTTCAGGTTATATATATATATATATATTTTTTTTTCAGGTCAACGATTAGGTGCATTAGCTAGACCCCATCTCTTATTTATTTATTTAGACAGAGTCTTGCTCTCTTGCCCAGGCTGGAGTGCAGTGGTGTGATCTCGGCTCATTGCAACATATACCTCCTGGGTTCAAGCGATTCTTCTGCCTCAGCCTCCCGAGTAGCCAGAACCACAGGTGCACACCACCATGCCCAGCTAATTTTTTTGTATTTTTAGTAAAGACGGGGTTTCACCATATTGGCAAGCCTGGTCTCGAACTCCTGACCTTGTGATCCTCCTGCCTTGGCCTCCCAAAGTGCTGGGATTACAGGCATGAGCCACCACGCTTGGCCTGGACCCTGTCTCTTTCTTTTAAAGACTTAGAATGATTCTATTAGTTCAAATGGATTTCCATTTGTGTGGAAACATGCTAATCACTTAGGTCTATTTCTTGTCTCACCTTCCTGAAGAAAAACAATGTTAAGATTTCGTCGGTTCATGATCACACCCAGGAAAGTATGAATTTAGATGGCAAGAATTCTGGGGCAGGAGATGAAGTAGTGGCTCTCAATGTTCTGATTCTTTAGATATTCATTGAACAAGGATTCCTTGAACATTTCTGACATACCAGCCTTTTTTTTTTCATGTGCATTATTTCTCTTACCCTTCACAACATGTGAAGGTAGCTTCACAACATGTGAGAGAGCTATTATTATTGCTATTTTGTAGATGAAGAAATAGAGTCACTGAGGTAAGTTGACCCATTCAAAAGAGAAAGGGAGCAAGTGGAAGACCTAGGATTTGAACCCAAGTCTCTTAACTTCTTCCCCTTAACTTCAGTAGTTTCCTCACTTTGCCTCAAAGAAGTACAAATGCTGAGATCTAGTATGCTATGTATGGCTTGAATATTTGTCCCCTCCAAAATTCATGTAGAAATTAATCCCCAATGTGGCAACATTAACAGGTAAGGGGTGTGTGTGTGTGTGTGTGTGTGTGTGTGTGTGTGTTTTGTTTGTTTTGAGACAGAGTCTTGCTCTTGTCACCCAGGCTGGAGTGCAGTGTTGTGATCTTGGCTCGCTACAACCTCCGCCTCCCAGATGCAAGCGATTCTCTGCCTTAGCCTCCTGAGTATCTAGGATTACAGGCACCCACCACCATGACCGGCTAATTTATTTTTTGTATTTTTAGTAGAGATGGGGTTTCACCATGCTGGCCAGGCTGGTCTTGAACTCCTGACCTCAGGTGATCCACCCACCTTGGCCTCCCAAAGTGCTGGGATTACAGGCGTGAGACATTGCGCCAGCCAGGAGGTGAGATTTTTAAAAGGTGATTGGGTCATGAGGGCAGAGTCTTAATGGAATAGATTAATCCATTTATGGCTTAATGGATTAATGGGTATATGGATTAGTGAGTTATCATGGGAATGGACTTAGTGGCTTTATAAGAGGAGACAGACCTGACCTACCATGCTCAGTTTCCTTGCCATGTGATACCCTGTGTTCCCCCAAGACTCTACAGAGAGTTGCCACCAGCAAGAAGGCCCTCACCAGGTGCAGCTCCTCAACCTTGAACTTTTCAGCCTCTAAACTGTAAGCAGTAAATTTCTTTTTCTCTATAAAGCACCCGGTTTCAGGTATTCCATTATAAGCAACAGAAAATGGACTAAGACATAGTAAAACCCTCCATTTCATAAATTTTGCAAACCCTAGGTTCACTTGTAAATTTGGCAAAAACTACAGTTCTTCCTACTAGAAAAAATGAATGTATGTGTCAAATTTTACATCTAATTTCTAGGACTTAACAAAATCCTGAGTCCCATCCACAGGCCTCATGTTAAATCTCCTCAGGTTAAACCCCGAGTCCCATCTCTGGCCTCCTGATCTGGCCAATCAGTTTACTTATGGAGAAGCCAACACCAAGAGAAAGGAGAAGGGGATATTTAGTCAGTTACCTATGACTAAAACCCAGGTCTTTCATATCTTAATCTACTTTTCTTTTATTACACAATGGGGCCTCTTACTTTCAACTGTGCACTATAAATAAAACCACATTCAGGAAAAGAATTTAAGTCAAGGTGATGGAAAGAAAAGGCTTTAATTATATAAACACTGATTTCTAGGCCCAAATTACTGCTAGCTGTGAAGGCATTGGCCTAGAGTGAAGGCAGGGCATGCTGGTGACTTTTACTCCTTTAGGTGTTTATTAGTCCAAGAAGCCTGAATTCCCAAGGCACCTCATTTACTAAGGAGCAGCTTTTATATAGAGAGAATCTGTGACATCAAAATTCTAGCCTTCCCTCACGCCCTATAGATCAATGGCTTGTTCTGATCTGACAGCATCCACTGACATATTTCCTTGGGATTGAAGAAGGAAGGGAAGAAATTGCAGGTAGGATTTGCAGCTGGCTGGCATATTGTGTTTTTATTGAAAAGCTTTACTGTCCCACATTGCCTGGATCTCCAAAATCCATTCAGTCAAGAGCCTCAGCATGCATGGGAAAGTAATAGAAGGGCCCCGTCAGCAAACTTCCACTATTCGACGTTAGCTGGCTCCTTACCATATTGGAATACCATCTTTAAGGGCCCTGACTCTTATCCTGGCAATTCCCTATTTTTATTAGAGAATAAGCAGAGGAAATCCATGCCATGTATAAATATAGATCCATACACACACTTATTTAGGGTACTCCTTAAGATAAACTACATGCATTGTTAGATTAGATTTAGGATTTATAAAGGGGAAAAATGTATGAAGGTATGCTATAATTTTGATTAGTTGCACAAAAGCACCCCTCAAGTAAAATCAGTTTTACAAACTCTTACTGAGTATGTGCCTGGGACTGTGGTAGGTAATGGGGATGTAAAATGAATAAGAGTCAAGGCATTCATTCATTCATTCACTCAACTATTCAACCATCCATTCTTTCAGGAAAAAAAAAGGTCTAGTGTTTCTACAGGACCACAGGAGAAGTAAATGTAAATCAAATTAAGGGATCAGGTAGAACAACCTGGAGGAAGTGGCCCTTAAGCTGAATTTTAACACTGGTTAGGGGCACTCTGGATATACTGGATGAAGATTCGGCAGGGATAAGTAGGGCATTCATTACATGCATGGAAGACAGCATGTATACTCACATGCAAGCATTCATTAGCATGATGGGCACTCTAATTTGAGTGTGTCCCTTCCAAATTCAGGTGTTGAAACTTAATGGTCAATGTAATGCTACTGAGAGTTGGGTCCTTTAAGAGGTAATTAGGCCATGAAGGCTCTTCCCTTGTGAAAGCAATGAAGGCCTCAAACAGCACTTGGTTTTGCTTGCTCTTCCACTTTTATGCATGTAAGGACGTAGAATTTGTCCCCTCCAGAGGATGCAGCATGAAGACACCATCTTAAAAGTGGAGAGTGGCCCTTACCAGACACCTAATCTGCCAGCACCTTGATCATGGATATCGCAGCCTCCATAACTATGAGAAGTAAGTTTCTGTTCTTGATAAATTAGCCAGTCTCAGGTATTCTGCTTTACCACATAAACGGACTAAGGCGATGGGTTTAGGGAATTGCATGTACTTCAGTATTGTTGGAGTAAGGGATGTGCAAGGTAGAATAGTGGGGTAGGGAGGAAGGAAGCTGGAGTATTATTCAGGGGAGAGATCACAAAGAGCTTTATGGGCTAAGCTAAGGAGTTTGAACTTTATCTTGAAAACTAAAGGGAGCTATTGAAGGATTTTAATAGGGGTAAGTGGCGGGATTAGATTTATATTTTGGACAGATTACTCCATCAGGGAGGAGAATGTGTTGGAAAGAGGCCAGACTGGAGGTTGAGAGATGGGTAAGGAGGCTAGTGCAGCAATCCAGATGGGATCAAGAATAAAGTAACAGTTGCTAAAGATAGGAAAGCAGATGTATTAAAAAGATATTAAGAGGTAGGACATAAACAGCTTGAACTGTTTGTATGTAGAATAAAGAGGAGGGAGGACTCAAAGATTTTGCTTTGGGAAATTATTTGTAGGGTGGTGCCATTTACGAAGATTGTGAATATAATCACAATATGCATGCAAGAGCAGCAACTAAGGCAAAATAATTCTTTAGGGGATATTTTGAATGTAAGGCTAGAAGAATGCTGAAATATATACCAGTATAGCTGTTGGCTATAAGGGTGTCAGGGAAGCAATTTGAGCTGAATATATGGATTTTGGATTTATCGTTCCTAGATGGTTATGAGTGAGATCACCTAATGACAGTGTAAAGGCTGAGAAGAACAAAAGATAAGGATGAAGTCCAGGAAGGAAACCAAAGTGTGGCCAGCAGGGTAGAAGGAAAATTGGAAAAGAGTTATCTCAACAGATGTCAAAAGAGGAGAAAGTTTCAATAAGAATTCTACAGTGTTAAGTCTCTAAAAGACAGAGTTTAGTCATATGGTGGGCTTTGGTGTCCAAAGGAGGATCAACATTCGGAGAGAGTTATCGTTGGAAGGTGAATGTGAGAAATTAGAACTTATAAGGTATTAGAAACAGCTGATGTAGTTAACACTTTCAAGGAGGTAATAAAGGGAAGGAGGGGAGGTGGGGAGGTAGGAAGGTTGAGCAAGAAGGTATTGTTTTGATTTGTGTTGTTTGAGCTTTTGTTTTAATGGGAGAGATTCAAGGGTATTTGTTTGCTGAATAAGAACCATTATAAAGGGAGAAGTTGAGTAAACAAGAGGGATAATTGATGGAGCAACATCCATGAGGTGGTAAAATGGGATGCGATCTAAAACATTAATAGAGAAACTATGCATGGAATGCAAACCAGAAGGAAGAATGAAAAAGCACAGTGGAGATCTGTGTACAGGAGGCGGAGGAGAGAGCTGAGAAGTTGCCTGGAGGCTTGCATTTTCACCATAATGACATAAGCAAAGGCACATCTGAGAATGACTGGGGTGGCACCCCCGAGGGGATAACTGGATCAGGAACTAGCTAGAGACCATTGCAGGATTACTGGGCAGCGCTGAGTGCCCAGCTGGGATAGCAGGCCTTGAGGTTGTAGTGGCACCAACCTGTGCTGCAGAGTAACCAACTGCAGAATAGCCTGAGTGCTGTCCACACACCAGTCAGTTGTCTGCAACACAATCCTTTCCATCCACGTGACATCAGGGGAGCCCCTGGGGTGCAGCAGGCAACACACTGGGCAGGGTGGCTGAAAATCCAGGTCTTCATCTGACCAGACCTGGTCCTAGTTGTGTGACCTTTGGCTAGTAATGTTACTCTCTAAACCTCATTTTTCTTATCTGTAAATGGGCTAGAGTTGCGTATCTCAGAAGGTAGTTACTATGTACGAGAATTCGCCCTGTTAATTATTTAATAACATAAAAAAGATGGATATTTTCCTGAATATGAAAAATGAATGCACAGCCTTTGAAGATCTTACTGTCTCACATAGAATAAAAATACTATAAATGTAAATTGAAAAGATGTTGAGCAGAAAGCACCTTTGAGATTAAAGATGAAGAAGTCAGAAAGTTTCTTTTTTTGGAAGCAAAAATTTAAAAGTTACAAGATAAATTGCAGTGACCAAGGTGCAAAAATATCTTCACTCTAAGAATCCTATCTGGCAATGAAAACTAAAGGAACCCTTGCTGGTTGACTATCTTGGAAACAAATATGAAAAATAAGGGGGGAAAATGGAGGAGGATGTTGGGACGGAACTCTAAGAGGCTGTTCCAAGAGACGGGCAGATGCAATACCTTTAAGGTCCCTTTTGTTAATAAAGGAGGAAGGAACTTGTCATTTTTCTACAAAAACTTCAGGACATTTTCTGAGGCAACTGAGGATAGACTCCTCCTTCTCTTTCTTAACCAAGTTACCTTGTACGGCCCTGACTTGACTGGGCACCAGAGCATCATATCAGATGATGAGTGATTGAGTGTGTGTGTGTGTGTGTGTGTGTGTGTGTGCACATAAAGGACTGCCACAACAAACCTCTTATGTATAAAATCAATTTACTTTCCAGAAAACACTATGTTCTGAAAAGCCATTTTGTGCAACACAATTTCAGGAGGAAACAACTGGTAATGATTATAGAACAGTAGAAGGTGGCATGTAACCTGGAATGAAATTGTAAGTTATGAATTATAAGAATTACAGAATTCCATGGGAAGGGATTGGGCATTAGGGACTGGAAGATCTGAGTTGAAAAACATCAAAATTGGAAGGTTCCTGGAAAGAACACAGTTTTGCCCCTTTCCAAACACATCTCCATTTTACAGATGAGAAGACTGAGGCTCAGAAAGGTGAAGTCACTTGCCTGGGGTCAGAGAGTGAGTGGTAGAGCTATACTAGAATAGGTAACAACTGGCAGAAGCAGCCCAGAAGTGGTTGGTCAAAGTCAAGAAGGACGTGGTAATAGCAACTATTATTACAAAACAATTATTACAAAAACAATTTCCACTGATGGGATGCTTTGCACCAGTCACTGTGTTAGTCATTAGGTATGCATTGTTCTTTTCCTTTTTTTTTTTTTTTTTTTCAGATGGAGTCTCGCTCTGTCACCCAAGCTAGAGTGCAGTGGCACGATCTCAGCTCACTGCAACCTCCACCTCCCGGGTTCAAGCGGTTCTCCTGTCTCAGCCTCCCGAGTAGCTGGGATTACAGGTGTGCACCACCATGCCCAGCTACTTTTTGTATTTTTAGTGGAGACAGGCTTTCACCATGTTGGCCAGGCTGGTCTTGAACTCCTGATCTCAGATGATCCACCGGCCTTGGCCTCCCAAAGTGCTGGGATTACAGGCGTGAGCCACCGCACCCGGTCACATTGTTCTTTTAATATGTGACAGCTCTGTGAGATAAGTTGTAGACAAAGGTAATAAACATTTGTGTTTCTTTTTTTTTTTTTTTTTATTTGGCTATTCAGAATCTGAATCCTCTTTTTATGTTTGAAGAATCTGTTGCTTTTTGAAGTGGTCAGTGACCACCTCTGTCAATGTTGAAAATGCCAGATGAAGAGCAGAAAGGAGTATTCCCAATGATGGCAGGGTCTGGAGCTGGATAATTTAGGGTTTAATCCCAGCTCTGCACATATTGCTGGGTACTTTGGTTAAGTTACCTGGCTCTTCTGTGCCTCTGTTTCCTCATCAGTGAAAATGGGGGTGACATACTGATTTCACAGAGTTCTTGTGGGGATTAAGTGAATTAATATATGCAAATACAACAAAAGTGCCTGGCACGTAGTAAATACTCGGTAAATAATAGCTACCATTATCATTCAATTTCCAGCCCCATTAGCAGCTAGGGCATGGGCCCACGACTTGGGTTCCACCAATGAGACATTCACTTTACATACTGACAAGAAAAAGGAAGAGCTACCAAAAAAATCTTTTCTAGTTAGTATCATGTAGCTGCAACAGCAGTAACTATAACTAGTTCTAGAGACTTCAGTGGCAGCCTTTGGATTGCTGGTGCTTCCAGTAAACTATACAATATCCTTTAACACATTCCTTTAACACATTTCTGTTCTTGAATTATTAGGGAGTGTCAGTTGCTTTTATCTAAGAATGCTGATGCATTAAAGCAGCATTATTGGCCAGGCGCGGTGGCTCACGCCTGTAATCCCAGCACTTTGGGAGGCTGAGGAGGGTGGATCACGAGATCAGCAGATCGAGACCATCCTGGCTAACACGGTGAAACCCTTTCTCTACTAAAAATACAAAAAAATAGCTGGGCGTGGTGGCGGGCACCTGCAGTCCCAGCTACTTGGGAGGCTGAGGCAGGAAAATGGCGTGAACCCAGGAGGCGGAGCTTGCAGTGAGCTGAGATCGCTCCACTGCACTCCAACCTGGGCGACAGAGCGAGATTCCATCTCAACAACAACAACAACAACAACAACAACAAAGCATTATTATTTTCAGCTCTTGGCAATTAAGAAATTTTTTCAAGGTCAGGTAGTTAGTGTGTAGTGAAATCAGAATTCCAAACCAGATTTTTCTCATTCCAAATCCTTGCTGTTAAGCACGATGCTGTTCTGTCACAGAGACTCATGGACTCCTACGTTTATGAACGTTAGGAAGGCATCTAGTCCACCCTTCAGTGCAGAAATCTCTCATACAATACCCTAGCTGGTAGTCATCCTACCTCTGTTTGAACCCTATTCATAACAGGGTAATAGTTACCCTGTACTTGTTACTCTGTGCATGTGTATCTACAAAAAGAAGAGCAGCCAAAATGGTGTCTGATAATTGACAATTATCAGATATCTGACAATTATCAGACACCTTTTTGGCTGCTCTTCTTTTTGTAGATAACATGCACAGACTGGATGGTGGATCAAAAACACAGTTTTTGGTAAACACCGTTGTATTAGTTTTCTAGGACTGCTGTACTGACTTACCACAAACTGGGTGGCTATGACAATGGAAATTTATTATATTACTGTTTAGGAGGCCTGAAGTCCAAAATCAGGGTGTCAGCAGGGTGGCTTCCTCCTGGAGGCTTGAGGGAGAATCTGTTTCACCCCTCTCTCCTAGCTTCTAGTGCCCCCTGGAGTTCCTTGTCTAGCAGCTGCAGCACTTCAATCTTTGCCTCCCTCATCACATGGTCATCTTCTATCGGTGTGTCTTTTCTGTGTCTTTGTGTCAAAATATCCTTCTCCTTTCTCTTGTAGAGCCTACCCCAATTCAGCATGACCTCATCTTAACTTGATTACAATGGCAAAAACCTATTTTCGAATAAGGTCTTATTCACAGGTATGAGCATTAGGACTTGAACATATATTTTGGGTGACATAATTCAACTCACAACAACTGATAAGCAAAATTAAAAGACACACTGGCCGATGTGAGAAAGAGGCATATAGGAAAATGAAAGGGCAAGGGACCGGCAGGCAGATTTGTCTGCTGGAGATGGGTCCTGTTCCTCCCTGATAAACTACAGTAGATCTTGGAAAAGGTTCCAGTACTGGCATACATATAGATTAAAACATTAACATTTACCTCCCTGGAGCCCCGCCTTTCCAAGAAGTAACTACTACTATGGGAATTTTTTCAGCCCTGCTTAAAAAATGATTTTTTCTATTAATGTATAATTTTTTTTAAGAATATGAGTTCATGCTGTGTTATAATTCTTATTTGTATTGTTTTCCATCTGGCTATTTTCTCTTGGATTTGTGTCTTACATCAGCAAATACGTCTACCTTATTCTTAATTGTTCCACCTTTGGTCTGCAGTTAGTATTTCTAGTTTTTCACCATTACAAGTAAACATAAGTTAACAAACTTATGCAAAAAGAAATCTTTGTACACCTATGCAAACATTTTAGAGTTGATCCCAACAAGTACTGTTATTATGTCCAAGGGTATGTATTTAAAAATTGTCTTAGATATTACTGTCTTCTAGAAATTAGTTTGTTAACTCATTCTCTCACAAATAGTACGTGATTGTCTATTTTTGTGTATTCTTGCCCATGCTGATTTTTTTTGCTAATATAGAAAAAATATATATACATATATATATATATATATATATATAGAGAGAGAGAGAGAGAGAGAGAGAGAGAGAGAGAGAGAGAGAAAAGCGTATACATTTTTCACCTCTTTCTTATTTTTTATTTATTTATTTATTTTTTGAGACAGAGTGTCACT
Source organism: Homo sapiens (assembly GCF_000001405.40). Lineage (NCBI taxonomy): Eukaryota > Metazoa > Chordata > Mammalia > Primates > Hominidae > Homo > Homo sapiens. The sequence goes on along the minus strand of NC_000001.11, from coordinate 209,075,789 downwards.
CTGTCACCCAGGCTGAAGTGCAGTGGTGCGATCTCGGCTCACTGCAACCTCCGCCTCCCGGGTCCAAGCAATTCTCCTTCTTCAGTCTTCCAAGTAGCTGGGACTACAGACACGTGCCACCACGTCCAACTCATTTTTGTATTTTTAGTAGAGACGGGGTTTCACCATGTTGGCCAGCTTGTCTTGAACTCCTGACCTCAGGTGATCCACCCACCTTGGCCGCCCAAAGTGCTGGGCTTACAGATGTGAGCCACCATGCCTGGCTGCCCTCTTTCTTATTCCTGGTGAGGCTGAGCAACTTAATCTTCATTGGCTATTTGATTTCTTCTGTGAATTTCCTGTTCGTATTTTTAAAAATTTAGTCTATATATTTTAAAATTAATTTGTAGGTGTGATTTATATATTTTGGATATTAATCTTTTGTTTCATACAATCATTGCAAATATTTTCTCCCAGTCTTTCCTGGTGTTTTATAATTACTTTCAGTCTTTTGAGTATAGAACCTTTAAAGCTTTATGTAATCACATCTGTTAATTTTTTTCATGTTTCTGTGTCTTCTACTTTTTTCTGATACTTTTATAGTTTTCATTTTCACATTTAGATGCTTGCATTTAAATGGATTTTATTTTTGTGCATAGTGGGAGAGTTCAGACTTTTTTCCAAAAAGCTAATTTCAACACTATTTATTGACTAGTCTACACAAGAAGTTGGCAAACTGTGGTCCAAAGGCCACATTTTGCTCAGTACCTGTTTTTGTACATAAAGTTTTGTTGGAACACAGCTATTTGTTTAGTATTGCCTATGGCTGTTTTCACACTACAGTAGCAGAGTTGAGTAGTTGCAACAGAGACTTTGTCCCCCAAAGTCTAAAATATTTATAATATTGTCTTGTAAAGAAAAGGTTTTCTGATCCCTGATTCCCCACTGATCTGAAATATCTTCTTATATACACTAAATGTCTGTTTGTATAATGACTGAGTGCTAGTTTGCTACTTACTTATGAATCTATTCCTGAGTCAATACCATGCCATACAGTTGTAGGTTTATAGTGTATTTTGATATCTGTATGACAAACACTCATTTATTTTTCTTTTCCAAAAATTTATTTGCTCTTTTACATAAATCATTTTATGTATAAACTTTAGAAATGTCAAATTTTAAAAAACATGAACAAATAAAAACTCTTGTAATTCTGATAGAAAATTTTAGTGAACTTGTAGATCTGGAGAGGATTGACATATTCACTATATTGAGGCTTCTATTTCAGAAACATGGTATGCCTTGACATTAATATTAGACTCTTCTCCTTCATTGAGGAAAGTTTTATAGTTTTCTTCTATAGGTCTTGCTTAATTTCTTTTCAGATTTGTGCATGTATATTTAGCAGATTTTGATTGCTAGTGCACACTGGACATTTGCAGTTTTGCTATTTTGCCATCCATACTCCTTTTCTATGTTGGGAGAATCTCAAGGCATGGGAAAGGAGGGCCTCTGTTTCCTACTTATCTCTCACTACAGAAGATAAAGTAGTGGGGGCATTTTATCTTCCTACCCTGGGTAGCTAGAGAATGGACATATAATTTAAGCTTGGTTAATGAAATGTCACTGTCAGATTGTAAACACTAAGAGGATAAGTCAAAGGGTTAGTTAGAGACTTTTTTTGGCATAGCAGGTGCCTGGAGGCCAGAGTTCTGTTCAGTGGCATGGTGGTGCAATTGCTGGGATGGAGCAGTCCAGCAGCATGGTAGTGGGCATCCAATGGTGGCATCAGTGGTGGTGTGCTATGCCAATTGCCTTTGGCATGATCTTGGCTGAACATTGTTTGCCTTGGTTCTTCCTGAACCCCTGTTCCTAGTCAATGCAGTGGACTACCTAATGCCCTACCAATAAGCTTTGTTTCTGCCTAAGATAGCCAGAATCAGTTTCTGTTGTTTATAACCAAGAACCCTGACAAGAGTCCATCTTGCATTACAATATACAATTGGTTATTTTTGATGCATATAGAAGCCATTGATGTTTGCAGTAGTCTTAGAAGTCAAAGATAAAATTGATTATTTTACCTTCAGGTCATTCATAGTTAGAGGATTTTGAAGCTGAAATAATCCCAAGAGCTCCTGGGTACTGAACACCTACTATATGGCAGACACATATATTCTGTATTGCTTTCAATCTCCTTAATTATCTTAGATAACTGGCATTTTTTATTTCTACTTTTACAAATAAGGAAATGGAGTTTTGGAGAGTTTAAGAAACATGTCATGGTTATGTAACTCATGAGGAGTGGAGCTGGATTTTGAACTTGTGTTTGTTCTATTACTAAGTCTCTGATGTTTTGAGTTCCCCTAGCTGACTTTGTAAATAAATGTTGTCTTTTAAATATTTACTTCCCAGAGCCGGGTGCGGTGGCTCACACCTATAATCCCAGCATTTTGGGAGGCTGAGCTGGGCGGATCACGAGGTCAAGAGATCGAGACCGTCCTGGCTAACACGGTGAAACCCCATCTCTACTAAAAATACAAAAAATTAGCTGGGCATGGTGGCAGGTGCCTGTAGTCCCAGCTACTCAGGAGGCTGAGGCAGGAGAATGGCGTGAACCCGGGAGGCGGAGCTTGCAGTGAGCTGAGATCGCGCCACTGCACTCCAGCCTGGGTGACAGAGCGAGACTCTGTCTAAAAAAAAAAAATTTACTTCCCAGATATGCATACGCAATATTCATCACTTTTTTCTCTAAGAACATTGACCGCAATCCCAGGTTCAGTTCAGACCTTCAAGTTTTGTTCTTGTCATCTTCTTTGCCTTTCACTGCCTCTGCACCTGAAACTAGACAATTTTTGTTCAAATATATCATTCTTTCCCTTCCTTTCTCCATTTTATATATTTGAATTCTTCATGAAGTCTCTGTGAGTCCTATGGCCCATGATGTTCTCTTCTTTTCTGAACTTCTGCAGCATATCTCAATTCCACTCACTTGACACTTAAACTTATACAGCATTGCACTTTTATTGGCTTTTTAGGCATGTCTACCTTATCACTCATACAAAACTGTTCTGATTCAAGAGAAAAAAATGTACCCTATTCATCCTTGTGGTCCCTGTAGCATCCATGTTAAATGGCATGCCCATGGTAACTCTAGAAACATCAACAATCTCTAAAGCTCTGAGGTCTTAAAAAACAATTGACTTTTGTATGAAACAGTTCAACCTGTGGGTGCTCTCTATCTGGAGAACATATATCTCTATGGAGATAGTTTTCTGATCCTGTCTTTAAATTACTTCAGATTTGGCAAGTTTTATTACAAATGCCTGAAGCATGGGTTGTGACCAGTTGACAATCTCCACCACCATGAGACCTGGGCGGGAGGCCGTGGGCAGACCTGGAACACACGGTAGCACACGGACACGGGGTAAGGTGGCTCTGCAGCCCAGTCTGCACTTTGTTCCCAAACCTGCTTCCCTGAAAGAGGGCTGTGCCACCTGGAGGTCGAGGCACTTTTTCTAATTTGCACAAAAATTATCTAGGCTCACAGAGGCCCTGGGTATGGGTTTTGCCTAAAGCAGGAAATACTGGTGGTAGACAACACAAAGCATTTTCTTAGTCAGAAATCAAGACATTGATACTGGTGGTTTTTCCCTCTATAGAAATTTTAATATCAAAAATGACCATAGTCTCAGAGAACCTTAGTTTTATATTTACCTGAAGACAAGGGGAATAAATGTATCCATGGATTGCTAATTTTGGTAAATCGCTTAAATTGTAAAGGGTTTTAAGATTCATTGCTCAGAGGAGTTGTAGGAGTACAGGGGTAGGGGCTGATGTACCAAGTGTGCCTCAGACTGAAACTGGAAGGGATCATCATCCCCAATGTCCTTGCCCCTTTTCGATGTGTACGCCCATCCTGTATTCCTCTGTCACCTCTCCTTGGGATGGATACTAAATCATGGTGTGTTCACATTTCTGATCTGTCTTAGATTTTGTTAGTGCAATTCTACATTAATAATGGAGCCTTAGGTTTCTCTCCCAATACCTGCATCTAAGGCCAATTCCTTGCCCAGCATCTCAGGTCATTCTGTCTTGTCAGGGGGAGGCTCTTGGAGGTAAGGGGGTACCCACACGCAGGCACTGAGGCCACTCTCCCTCAGAGTTTCTCTGCCCCATCAGCCGAAGAAGAGAGTCCTACCCTATTTGGTTTCACACATGCCTCCCAGGGCCGCAGAAACTCTCATACTGGCTTTAGAGTCATTATTTTCCTCCTTCTAGAGGTCTGGTGACTTCAGTTTATAAGCTCTAATTTTGCCCCTGAGGAAAGATTGATTTTTCTAAAACATATTCATCAATACTATTCAGGCTGATTCTACCCCCCTAAACTAATATGCTGATCCAGTGTCCCAAGGATTTAGTGGCCACATTTTCCAAATGCAAATTCGGAATACATGGTCTGACAAGGTGATAGAATATTTGAAATCGGGACTGACCTAGAAAATTCAGGACATGCAGCTGTCATACATAATGGCAACACGGCCTAGATAACACGCACCATTTTCCCTGAAGCCTGTCTGCATCATGACAGCTTCATTTGATGGTCTGAGATAGCCTGTCTCTTTCTGTTTTGGGTCACCCAGTTAGTATATCCTCATTTCCTCTTGGAGGGATGAATCCTGCGTTCAGCTTATTTACAACACAGGGATGACTGACAAGCTGTGTGCCCAACTCCACCCACTCTGACAGGTCAACTTGACTATATGTGAAGGAAGCATCCTCCAGGATCTCTGGTAACGGAAGGAACCAGCCTAACCACACTGAACATCAGACTGTGGGGGTCGTCTGGAAAGCTCTCCTTCAGCCTGTGTGCATGAGTTAATATTTGTGGAGTGTGGATACGGTCTCTATTTGGGAGATAAAGGAAAGGAAGGAATTTTGTACATGAACACTTGGGAAAACATGGGGAAAGTGAAAGGGAAGCTTTCTTTTCCTGTGCTATACTGAGAGAAAGAGCTGGAATTGATCTTCATGATAGAGAGAGCTGCAGGATAGTTTTCTTGGGAAGCTTTATGAAATTCCAAGCATGAATATTGTTGCTCAGGATCTAGTAGGTAAAGGAGAGAGCTGAATTTAGGAGAGGGGCTTTCTTCCTATTTCTGGAGTTCAGGTACCTCTAGGATTTATGGTGTGGGGAGGACTAGAAGATAATACATGTTATGGAGTGAATTGTGTCTCCCCCTAATTTGCAGGTTGAAGCCTTAAGCCCTCCATGTGACTGAATTGGAGACAGGGCCTTTCAGGAAGTGATTAAGGTTATGTCAGGTCATGAGGTGGGGCCCTCATCTGATGGAGCTGGTATCTTCATGAAAGGAAGAGACCTCGGAGATCTTGTTCTCTCTGCCATGCGAGGGCACAGTGAGAAGGCAGCTGTCTGCAAACCAGGAAGAGGGCCCTCAGTAGAAAGCAAATCCTATCAGAACCTTGATCTTGAACTTCCTATCCTCCAAAACTGTGAGAAAATAAATTTCAGTTTAAGGCACCCAGGCAATGGTATTTTGTTACGATAGCAGACCAAGACAACACCCTTATCATAGACATTATTGTTTTTTTAGAGTATATTGGTGACCCAGGTGTGGGAGGAGAGAGAATATAGAGACCCAGCAGGGAGTTCTAGAGCTGGACTGAGTGGATTTGTATCCTGCGCTGCCACTCACCAGCTCCTCAACCTTCAGTAAGTTACTTGACCTCTCTGTGCCTTGATTTCCTCATCTGAAAAATGGGTCTAATATTTAAAGATTAAATTAACAAATATATGTAAAGGCTTAAAGTAGTGACTAGCAGGTGGAAAGGTCTCAGAAAGTGTTTGCTATTATTGGTGTTATTTTTGTTGTTGCTATAAGGAAGTCATAATAGAATAACATTAATGGAATTATTTTTGAGCTCATTAAATACCTTGCTGGAGCTCCCACAAACAAACTGCACAGGCTTTTACAGGGGGCATTGAGGGTCTATGGTCAATCAGTTGATATACATGTCTTTGCAAATTTGGACATAAATATTAATGTAATCTCATTTATATCCATGGGTTGATGAGGCCAGAGAGCATCAGTGCAACATATAATTACAGTTTTATAATGCTCCATGCAGCAGAAACTGCTAGGTTCTCACTGAAGTCTATGCTTTCTACTTCCTGGGAAGAAAGACTGTGGGTCTAGCCTCTCTTGTTGGTAGGTGCATTTATGTGATAGAAGTCCTGCCAGTGGAGGGTGACACAGCAATGACGTGTGCCACTTCCAGGCTTGGCCTCTGAAAATTCCCATGCATGTCTTCTTCATTGTGTTTTCAAGGTGGCAGAAATGAGAATATATAAAGAATAACACCCACATCTTGACAATGGCATAGCCTCCATTAGTCTGGGTCCTTGAATAATTGCCAACTGTTCATCCAACCAGCAAGAAATAATTTTGTGTGTGCATTTGTATTATACATTTTGAAGGTTTCTTTGCTATAGTAGCCTAACATACTTCAAATATCGTGAACCTATCAAAAGTACAAAATGTCTCTTATTTCTTCAAAAGCGTTATTTACTCACAGCATTATAGATGTTGCTGTAACTATGAATAGTCAGGCCTCATGGGATTTGATCATAAAGCACTTTTATATTTATCTTCTACTGTTCTTTCACACTTGCTCAGTGGTAGTGGCTCTGCCTTTCCATGGATACAAACTAGGATAAACAGCTTGACTTTTCTGGTCAGTTTCAGGAAAGAAAAAATCTATGTTTACTTAAAATTGCAAACACAGACTCAGTTTGGAAATTAAAAATGTCCATTCCTGTATATTAATAACAAAAGACTTCAGCTTCATCAAAAGGTCACATTTTACTCTTTCACTTTCTTTTCTGCTAGTGGCATGTTGCAGATGAGATTCCTGCCTTGGGGAAAGATGATGTGGTTGGTTTCTTCTCTTTTTCTATCTGACCCTCCCAGGTTAAACTGGACTATGGAATATGGGAGGTGGTATGGATGTAAGGAGACATAAGAGGAGTGGAGAAGTTTTTAGCTTACAGGCACTGTTACAGGAGATGAGAGATGTTGGCCTGAGAGATGTTTACGTCTGTCTGTCTCTATCATGAGACTCTTTTGTATGCTCTTTGGAAACTTCTCATCATAGATAGTCTCTCATCTGGAATTTCCTTAATCTGGATATATGCTTCTCTATCTGACTTTGTTCTTCTTCAGTCCTTAAAAATCAACAGTCTACTTCCAGATTCTCTTTGTTAAGGTCTTAGTGCCATTTAGGTGAACTATTTTAAAAAGCATTTTAAATCTCCTAATTCTGACTCTGTTTGGTATCCTTTGATCAGTCAAACTTTGAGCATGTCAACATAGAAGAAACCCTTCTTTGTTTTACCACCAATGCAGCTGCCAGCTTATCTTTTGTTTTCTAGATTTCCAGAATGGCAATAAGACATCAGCCCACTGCAGGTACTCCAACCCCATTTAACTGTAGGGACACATACGAGGCCCATTGATTATTTCCATGTGACTCTTCTCTTGAAGTTAGGTGGACAAGAGGGAATGCTCATAACACCACTATCTCCAAAGAGATGCTCATCACAAATATTCTCCCCATATTCATTCTCTCAACCCTTGTATCATTAATGTGGACAGAAAGACGGGGGCTATCTAAGAATTATAACACTGGTTCTTATCATTTCCTCTGAAAGTTGGCATCTTGATTGTGTACCTGAACTTGGTGTCCATTATAACTGCAACTTGGATAAAACTTCTAGTTTAACATCCTGCTACAAAGACGTTAATTAAACTAATATGTCAAAAACTAGGGCAAGAGGTTCAGAGTTATAGCAAGTAGGCAGCTATTGAATGAACAGAAATTAGGATGTGTTAAGTCATTCAACATTGATTCTTTAATATATAAGAGCTTCAGAAAAAGGCATCAGAGGTAGAGAGAAGTAGAAAACACACATAGGCACTGCCTTGAGGGAGTTTATAGTCTAAATACAGAGAGCAATATTAACTAATCAAATAAAATAATACAGTTGACCCTTGAACAACACAGGTTTGAACTTTGCAGGTCCACTTGTATGTGGATTTTCTTTCATCTCTGCCACCCCTGAGATAACAAGACCAACCCCTCACCTTGCTTCTCCTCCTCAGCCTTCTCAACATGAAGACAATGAAGACCTTTATTTATCTAGTTTTACTCAATGAATGAAGTAAATATATTTTCTCTTCCTTATGATTTCTTAACATTTTCCATAGCTTTCTTTATGGTAAGAATACGGTGTATAGGTTGGGTTCAGTGGCTCATGCCTGTAATCTCAGTACTTTGGGAGGCTGAGGCAAGCAGATCACTTGAGGCCAGGAGTTTAAGACCAGCCTGGCCAACAAGGCAAAACCCTGTCTCTAATAAAAATATAAAAAATTAGCCGGGTGTGGTGGCAAGCACCTGTAATCCCAGCTACTCGGGAGGCTGAGGCACAAGAATTGCTTGAACCTGGGAGGCAGGGATTGCAGTGGGCCAAGATCATACCATTGCACTCCAGCCTGGGCGACAGGGCAATACTCCATCTCAAAAAAAAAAAAATACAGTATGTAATGCATATAACATACAAAATATGTGTTAATTGACTGTTTTATGTTACTGATAAGTCTTCCAGTCAACAGTAGGCTGTTACCAGTTAAATTTTGGGGGAATTAAATGTTATATACAGATTTTTGACTATGTGTGGGGGGTTGGTGTCCCAACTTATATGTTGTTTGAAGGTCAACTGTGTATAATTTAAAATAGCAATGATTGTATGAAGAAACATTATAAGGTGTTATGGGGGAGAATGAGAGAACACTTGATTTAGATGGAAGATTTGTAATGAAAAGTCAGTAGGAGGTGAAGGTGGCCAGGTGAAAATTTGTATTTCAAGGAGAGGGAAGGTCATCTTTCAAATCTGCAAGGCTATAAATGGCACAGAAAATTTGCAGAATTGGAAGAAGATCAGAGGCCAGTGTTCCCAAAGGAATCCACCCATCATGTAACACCTTGGAAGTCACATAGAAGGCTTTGAACTTTAACCTGTAAAGCAATGGAAGCCCAATAAAGGAATGTAAACAGGACAGTGAGGGGGGCAGATTTGTATTTAGAAATGATCACATAAATTACTGTAAAAAGAATGAATTAAGACCAGGAGTAATCCTAGAAGCAGGGACACCTTCGTGGTGACCTGGAAGAAGTGTGACGTGGACTGGGCATGATTATGGAGATAGATGGAAAGTACATGATTTATTTGGGATAGATTTAGAAAGTATAAACCATTGAATTGGATGGAGGAAAGGGAGTTGTTAAGGATGACTCTTAGGTTACTGTCATGGGCTAACAAGTGAATTGAGATGCCATTTACCTGAACTCTCTAGGAAGAAGCCAATTTTAGGTGGGGGAAAGATAAGGAGTTTAGTTCAGTGCACAATGAATTTGAGGAGTCTGTAGGACATGTAAACAGAGATGCTAAATAGACATTGTATGTATGGATCTGGAACTCAGAAGTATGACCTGCAGATATAAGCGTGGGAGTTGGCAGATAGTTATTATTTAGAGGTTGCATAAATGAGAAGTAGCCAGTGAGATTGAGAAAAAAGCAGGAGCTCATGACATTATCAAAGCAAATATATCAAGAAAGAAGGGTGGCTAGCTGTATTGGTTTCTGTTGAGATATCAAGTAAGAGAAGAAACTAAAATGAGTCCATTGGATTTTGCAACATGCAGGCCATTAGTGACCTTAGTGAGTATATGTAATGGATTTACAGTTATTAATGGAGTTCCAGTTAGTGTCAGGAACCAGAGGAAAAAGAATTTGGAAGAAAAGTTATTGAGTAGGTCACAATCATTCCAAGATCAAATACCAAAATTATAGAATTTGCAGTAACGTAATCAGAAAGATTCAGAAAGAAGGGCATGCACATAAGTCAGGAGTCGGGCATCCAAAATGAAGGCAGGATGAAATATTACATCAAAGTAACAAAGAACAATTTAGAATACAATGATCCTCAGTGATTATTTAATCAAAAGATAACTCTATGGATAAGTAAACTGAGGCTGAGAAATGACTTTGTCAGGGTTACACAGTGAAAGTATGGCTGAGCCAGGGTGAGAAAGCTGTTCAGAATCTACATCTGTTGCTTGTTCTGTTTGTGTTGCCTCTCGTGGCCTGCTTATTCTAGGCAAAAGACACAGGAAGAGGAATATGGCTCAGTTGTCAGGCAGCACCTGAGATCACTCCCAGCCAGAAGAAACTCATTGGAGCAGACTTAAGTGACCTATAACTCACAACAGGCAAGCCAGGGTTAGAAATAATCAAGCCTCAGCCTCGTAATTTATCAGCACCTGAAAGTCCGCTTCTGTGGTTGCCTGTCTCTTCCAGTTGCTCAGGCATGGGGCACACAGCTCTCAGTCCTCCAGTGGCAGGAGGACTTCATAAATGACATTTGATTATGCTCAACACAGCAGCCAGGGGCTGTACACCAACTTCAATAAAGACGGCAAACACTAGCGATCTCCATAAAGCACAGAAGCCCCGGGGGGAATGGAATCGAAATCTTAATGTCGAGGTCCACGGCCACCAAGGCAAATGACAGCAAAATGCGAACAAATTGCAAAACCAATAATAATAAAATTCCTGCTTGTGCTGCCTGTAAGGCATCAGCTCTCCAATATCACCCCCAGGGAGCAAAGTCAGCTCTCTATGGGGTCAGTGGAGGCTATTAGAAGCCTGCTTGCTGGGCTTCTCAGCTGGAACCCAGGGCTGCTGAAATAGCTTTGCATTCAATTGTGCTCCAACCCTCTAATCCTGCCCTTCTGCCTGAGGAGAATCGTAGGCAAATTTAGCCTTATTCCCAAGCCAGAAATATTTTTTGAGACATGTGAATCTTGATGTTTTTGATTTCTCAATTATGACCAAGTCTTGAATGACATTTTAGAATTTTAATGCTAGAAGTCTTAGAGATCATTTATCTCCCCACAACTCCACCCCAGACTGAGACCTAAAGAAATGGGAGCATTTGTCCCAAGTCATACAGCTTGTGACAGCACTGGAATTGGAATCTGGAGCTCTGAACACACAGTCACAGCTCCCAAGGCAGATTCAGTGAAAGGGAACTTACTATTAAATAAGGAACTAAATATAGATGCTTTTTTTTTTTTTCTGTTCTAGGGGAGTCACAGCATTTACCTCACCTCAGGGGAAAATGTATTCTTTTGTTTAGGAACACACTTTAATGGGTTTTTTTGGGTCATAAAAGCCATAGCCTTGGGTCTCATCTAAAATCGGGAAGTTAAGTGTCTGTGTAAAACCACAGTCATGTAAAAGCATATTCTCCCTGGGGCCAGAGAGACTGTTCTGATGTGTCTGCTCTGATGCTAGTGGTGAGGAAGATTTCCCCTGGAGTGGAGTTCTGGTGGGTTCCTTGCTGTGAATAGAAGGGAGAATGGACTCGATTGAGAATTGGCTGTGGGCTTTGCAGATCCAAACGATAGCAATGTGTGCCTTGCAGCGTTGGTAGCTCTAGATCTGTACTATGCAGAATATCTGACATTGCCCTGACGTTATCCATGTGAGCCTTCAGTAAAATGGTTTCCTAGCACAAACCTTTGTGCTAATGACGTCAATAACGTTGGGTGGAATGCAAACCAAGCACTGTGTGGGCCTCTATCAGTGAAGAGGAGAGTTGCTTCCCTAACACCTGCCTCCCCCAAGACTTTGAGGCCTGCAAGTGGTAGCAGCAACGTGGAAAGAGGGCTGCATCGCGGGACTCTGGGAGCTGACAGGCAAGTGGAGGCCTCAGGGAGAGTAGGCAGGGATGATCAAGAGCCAGCGGCTGCAGAGGAGCAGGCGGCAGTGGGAGCTGGGTGGGGCAGGCTTGCCACAAAACCAAATCTACTGAGAGAAGGCGACCCCTGAAGGGATCTTGAGTGTGAGGTGAAAAGTGGGAGGAACTAGACTATGCTTTATGGAACTAGAAACTGCAAGCAGTAATCAGAGGTGACCTTGGCTTTGGGTGCTTGCGTTTGTCACTGTTAAACGTCACTGTCCTCATGTTAAAATAGGTTCGGTTATGTTTATCAGTTATTGCTCTGGTTTAATTCAAATTAAAGTGCCATGGAAAATAAATCAACGTTTCTGGGGCATGGCAGTCTTCACTCCAAAGCCCATCTCCAGCAGGACGAGTGTCATAACTCCCTCACCTGTGTGCGTGACTGCCCATATCTATTTCAGCTCTAACACCATGCCAAAGGGCAAATGAGCAAAGGGTTGTGTTGTAGAGGGGGTTCCAGGCCCACTATGCCTTGAAAAGGTGGGACTGCTCTCTTTTAATCTCCCTTCTTATTTGGGGTTTCTGAATGAAAGAACCAGGAGCTGAAATTTCCCCTCTTCTGCATTTTGAGGTTAAGAGCCCAGAAATGTTCAGTGTTTTTGTTTTGTTTTGTTTTGTTTTAATGGTGACAAAGAGTAAAGTTGTCTTAATCATTAGATACTTGCAGATGATGGAAATTGGTGGGGAGGGCTAGAGAGATGGAGAGGAGAACCAAGAGTCAGAGAGCATCCACACCTGTTATTGGGAGTTCTCTGGAGCTTGTGGGAAAACACCAATATGTATTTTGAGCTGTGTACATCTCATTTCACTGTTTAAAGGAAAATAGCAGGCCTAGGCCACAAGAGGCCGAAACAGAGAGAGGAGGCCTTGGGGTATACATATACTCAATACTGTGACCTTCTCAAATATAAACATTCCAGAGATGAATAGTTTATGACATCTGCTGGTGCCTGAGATAGCTTCATAAATGAATGAATTAGGTTTGGCCACAGTAAACACCAACTGTAAGAAATCTGCAAGGCCAGCAGAAGAAAAACAGGGGAGGAAGATTTCTAGTTGGCATTATAAGAAATGTGATTATTTCTCATTTGTAGCCTATGGAACATATGTTAATTTTCATGCTGTAGTTTGTGTCTAAAGAAAGAAAAGGATTCTTGCTGTTTGTGGCTGATACTGTAGCTTGTCTGCCTGACAACTCTTCTCTCTGTTTTCTGTATTATAACTCTGACTTTGTTTTGGGTGACAGAGAGTCTAGTTATTTCCCAGTCCCTCTTTGCAAATAGAGGTGGCTGAATAAAACAGTTCCAGCCAGTGAGATATCAGAAGTCACTGGATGAAACTTCTGGAAAGGCTTTGGGGGAGGGGTACAGGTTCATCTGGCTCTTGCATTTTCCCCTTGCTCACTGCCCTTCTACCCTCTTCTAAGAGCTGAAGCTGGGAGGTGTAGAGGTTCCCTGTGACCATGCGGATGACAGATGACCACTGAGGGGGCAGTGCAGGAGCACAGGGTGGGTGGTCCCCGCACCAGAGGACAGCCTCCCTCTGGATTTCTTATGCCGGAGAGAAATTAGCCCCTTAATGTCTTTGTGAATGTGACTATTGAAGCTGAAAGCAATTCTGAGTGGTCTTTTTTAACTTCAAGGTACACATGGAGAAAAACGCAAGTTGGAATTAGAGGCAAGTCCACTGCAGATCTCAGGTTACCTCCACGATGACATGGTCCGTAAAACACAGGAGACAGTCCAAGCTCATAAATATGGGCTCAAATGTGTCTCTATGTACAGGAAATTCCAGAAAGGATGGCAGCTTTATAAACATAGCTTCTGGTGGAAGCTTTATAAGTGTTGTAGGTGTTTTCATGCTCAGTATGTAGCAAGCGCTACACGAAATGGAATGGAATGCAGAAGTCTGTAGAATTGTCCAGATACGTTGCCAAACCATGGAGATGTGTATATATATCATCCGCCTCTCACCCATCTCTTTGTCTCACACCTCTCTCGCACCTCCATCAACCCCCCTCACTCCCTATCACCTCCCTTCTCACCCCTCTTTTTGTTACCCCTTTCTCTCACGTCTCACTTCTTTCTCACCCCGTTTTCTGTCACCCCCTTCACTTCTCTTTATCTCTCACCTCTTTCATGTCTCTCGCATATCTTTCTCATATATCTCTCATGTCTCTCATATATATCTCATCTCTGTTATGTACTGTATGTGTATATATGTATATATACATATATTCCAGGAGAGATCTGAAGTAAAGGTCCAGGGGTTGGCGGCCTTTCCCTTGTGGTCCAGCTGCCTTGGTCTGAGGGTGCTCAGCTCCAGTAAGAGTCCTCACGGGCCATGTACTTCACCCATGCAGCTCAGAGGCAGCCACAGTGCACATGGTGAACATACACAGTGAACTTACTTGCGTTTTTCTCCATGTGTATGTATATATACACATACATTATATATATATTTGAGACCAGGATGCTGAAGGCTCAGGATACCCAATATGGTCAAATGGGTACATCACCTATGTTGACATTAATTGTTCTTCCACAGGCAAAGCCTGATGTTAGATTCGTGAAATCTATATGTTATCTCTACTTTGATAGAGGAAAAGGTGACTTGTGTTTAATTTTGTAAGTTGAGTCAGATTTGAAAGGGCACAAAGGAAGCCTGCCACGTACATGGAAGAATATTTTGTGAAGTGAATCAAGCCACCATCCCACTTCATTTAATGTCTGCTCTCCCCACATCAGGCTGCATATCTGCTTTGTACATTTTTACTGACTATAGCTCAGGTTTCCTGAAAAGGGGCGTGTTATTGGCAATTATTTGTTGCCATCATTAACAAGCAGGGCAGCCCCATAGAGCACCAAAGAAAACACTGGCAGCTGAGTAGTAAAGGGAGGCATTTGCTGGTACAGGAAGCAAAAGCAGTTGTGGACAGCTTTTATGAGCTTTTAGAAACAGGCTGAAAAGTAATGCTCTCCTTCTGACTGCTAAGCTAAGCCTGAATGACGAGGAGAAGGTAAATACACTAACAAATTGTTCTGCAAAAGTGGCTGCAAGGTGACTTTTTTCAAAGGAAGCATATTGGAGATAAAATGAGGTGACTTTTAATGTGCTGCTCCCAGTCAAGTGATTATGAGTTGCTTTATAGCAAACACCACCAGAAGTTGCATCCCAAGCGACTTCTTTAACGTTGCCCCCAGAAATTTAATTTGGAGATCTGATGGAGACCCACTAGAAAGGGCAGCCACCATCTGAACAACCCCCATTCTCTAAGACCTTCGCACATACACACACAAGGAATTAAAATTGATTTTCAATGTTTTGGCAGTCACAGGAGACTCTAGTCCCTCCAGCAGCATTTCCCAAAGAAGACATTACTTATCAGAGCTGGTCAGCATCAGCAATCTCTTAGATAAATAATTTATATGGGGAACTAATAAAATAATGGAGTACTTCAGGGGCTGGTAATAAGCGTGCAGATGAGAGCCTCCTGGGTGCACTCCGCAAGAGGCAGAATCCACAGCCTGGGTGCACTGCCTGTCTTTGCTTTAACTGCCTGTACTGCTCCAACTCCCACGTGTCATCCATAGAATGCCATCCCCTGGCTGTACTTTCTTGTACTTTAAACTTGTATAAATCCTCTCCATCCTTTAATGACCAGCTCCACACTCTTTTTGATGTAGCCTTTCTTGCCATTCCAAACCTAATCTCTCTCCCGCTCCAGTCTCCACAGTGCTTATGTTTATATGACTTGTCTCATCCCTTTTGAAATAGCCATGTGCTATTCCTCGCATTGCTATTTTATTTATTTAATTTGTACAGTCATTAGATTATAAGTGTTTTAGAGACAGAGGCATGTTGAATAGCCCCTAAATCGCCAACAGTGTATGTAGCGCATTGCTGCATATCTGCCAGTTGCATGCATTTGCTGACTCGCCTGCGGGGCAAGAATCCTCTCAAAGAATC
Organism: Homo sapiens; assembly: GCF_000001405.40. Taxonomy (NCBI): domain Eukaryota; kingdom Metazoa; phylum Chordata; class Mammalia; order Primates; family Hominidae; genus Homo; species Homo sapiens. The sequence continues at coordinate 209,059,956 of NC_000001.11, read as the reverse complement.
ATTTCTTCTATTGTTTGTGTCTAACAGGTGATGGAGGGTCTAGATATGTTGAATTTTGGTGGCAATTTTAGAGGCAAGCATTCTTTTGTTTTTGAGGACGTATACAACCTATGCCCAAGAAATAAAAATACCAGATTATTCTGGAAGAATAGGGGAGACTCTAATTAGCATTTAATTTTAAAAAATTGTCCTTTCTGGAAGGTAATCTTTTGTCTTAGCTTGCCTTTGGGCCAATGGGATGGCATCAAAGAGAAGGGGCCTTAAAGGCAGGAAGGAGATAATGAGACCCAAGTGGAGCTCCGTCTTTGCCCACAAGGAGGGCTGGCTTCTTTGTCTGATGTCTGCAATGGCTGAATCCTCCCCTTTTACGTAGGGGTCATCTTTGCACAGCAGGGACCTTTCATGGAATCTTCAGCTCCAAGAAACAGTTATAAATCTCTCTCTTTTACAGCCTTGAGTTGGCTTCCCTCCTGTGTTCTCCCATTTTTGCCTGTTCAAGAAAGCCCCTAGGTATTGGGTAGAAGCAGATGCTCTGACACCTCAGGAGCCCTCACTTTCTCCCTCCTGGTACAGCTCTCTAGATTCACACAGGAAGCCAGAGTTCTGCAGCTGCCTATTGATAAGGCTTTGTATTCCTTTGGATATTAGCAGTTCATATAATTTTACATGTAAGCATGTTGGTTGCTAGCACCAGAACGACAACATCCAAAAATGCACACTGAATTGGAAGAAATGTTGCAGATTTCTACTTCAGATCTTCAAGTACTTGGGGAAGAGATAATCTCTGACAATGAAGGGAATAAAATATTAAGGTATTTTACAGCTTCTCTAGAACTTTAAAAAGAAGTGTTAATAGCTTTTAGTCTAGAACAACTCAAAGGAAATCTTTCTTGGAGGAAAAATATACAATTGGCAAAGCTCACAATTTCTCTTCTTTCTCTTCCTTCTTAGCTAGGTAAAGAGAAGTATGATTATTTTTGGACAGTGGGTGGCTGGTTCATTTCTTTGATCTATTACCATGAGACAGCAGCCCAAACTTCTCACCTTATTTCTAGTATGGTACAGAGGGTGGTAAGAAAGTCCTATGTGGCTCTTTCACAAGCTGGGTCCAAGGAAGAAAATCTATTATTTAAAGGTTCTGTTTATTGGGATTTCTTTTTCAAATCTTTGTGTCATTCTACATAACTCACAAGGTGATCCCAAAGCAGGCATTGCAGGAAAAATAATGGGTGCAGGCTGGGAATGATCATTTAAACCAACGAGCTGGTGTTTTCATAGTTGGCATTTTGTGGGCAGAGCCTCTTAATCTTTGCAGCTGCCTTAGGAAAAATGCATCCTTAATTTATTATCATTATTATTATTATTTTTGAGATGGAGTTTCACTCTGTCACCCAGGTTGGAGTGCAGTGCACGATCATGACTCAGGTGATTCTCCCACCTCAGCCTTCTGAGTAGATAGAACTACAGGTGTGCATCACTATGCCCAGCTAATTTTTGTATTTTTTCATAGAGACTGGGTCTTGCCATGCTGCCTAGGCCGGTCTCGAACTTCTGGGCTCAGGTGATCTGCCCTCCTTGGCCTCCCAAAATGCTGGAATTACAGGCATGAGCCGCCGTACCTGGCCTAAGTGCATCCTTAATGACAAACAGGCCAGGGCAAGAACATGGTCAAGTAGCCCCAACTGTGACCCTGACTTAGGTCTGCAGTATTATTTTCTTAGGAATGAAATGGTTCAGATACACTTTAGTTTGCATTTAATTCCTAAGGGTTAAGATGTAAACCACAAGCATTCTTCAACTTTCCTCATCATTGCTAGAAGAGTCTTTCACATTTGTAATATTTTAGAGTTTTATTTGTCAATTCAGCAACTTTTTAAACTTTTAAGTTCAGGGGTACATGTGCAGGTTTGTTACATAGGCAAACTTGTGTCATGGGGGTTTGTTGTAGATTATTTCATCACCCAGATATTAAACCTAGTATCTGTTAGTTACTCTTCCTGATCTTCTGTCCGCCCACCTTCCACCCTCAGATGGGCCCCAGTGTGTGTTGTTCCCCTTTATGTTTTCATGTGTTCTCATCATTTAGCTTCCCACTTATAAGTGAGAATATGTGGTGTTTGGCTTTCTGTTTCTGCATAAGTTTGCTAAGAATAATGGCCTCCAGCTCCATCCATGTCCCCGCAAAAGACATGATTTCATTATTTTCTTATGGCTGCATAGTATTCCATGGTATATACGTACCACATTTTCTTTATCCAGTCTATCATTGATGGCCATTTAGGTTAATTCCATATCTTTGGTATTGTGAATAGTGCTGTAATGAACATACAGGTGGGTGTGTCTTTATAATAGAACTTATAGAATAGAAGTTATATTTCTTTGGGTATATACACAGTAATGGGATTGCTGAGTTCAATGGTATTTCTGTCTTTAGGTCTTTGAGGAATCACCATACTGTCTTCCACAATGGTTGAACTAATTTGCACTTTACAGACAGTGTACAGATGTTCCTTTCCCTCCATAAACCTTCCCAACATCTGTTATTTTTTGACTTTTTAACAATAGCCATTCTGACTGGTGTGAAATGGTATCTCATTGTGGTTTTGATTTGAATTTCTAATGATCACTGATGTTGAGCTTTTTTTCATATGATTGTTGGTGCATGAATGTCTTCTTTTGAGAAGTGTCTGTTCATGTCTTTTGCCCACTTTATTTATGGGGATGCTTGTTTTTTTCTTGTAAATTTGTGTAAGTTCCTTAGAGATGCTGGATATCAGACCTTCGTTGGATATATAGTTTACAAAACTTTCTCCCACTCTGTAGGTTGTCTGTTTATTCTGTTGATAATTTATTTTACTGTGTAGAAGCTCCTAAGTTTAATTAGATTCTATTTGTCAATTTTTGCTTCTGTTGCAATTGCTATTGGCACCTTCAACATGAAATATTTTCCTCTACCTATGTCCTGAGTGGTATTGCCTAGTTTGTCTTCCAGGGTTTTTATAGTTTTGGATTTTACACTTATACGTTTTTAATCCATCTTGAGGTGATCTTTTATATGGTGTAAGAAAGGGGTCTAGTTTTAATATTCTGCATATAGCTAGCCAGTTATCCCAGAACCATTTATTGTACAGGGAATACTTTCCCCATTGCTTGTTTTAGTTAGGTTTGTGGAAGATTAGATAGTTGTAGGTGTGCCTTATTTCTGGGTTCTCTATTCTGTTCCATTGGTCTATGTGTCTATTTTCATACCAGTACGATGCTAATTTGGTTACTATGGTTCTGTAGTATAGTTTGAAGTTGGGTAGCGTGATGCCTCCAGCTTTGTTCTTTTTGCTTAGGATTGCCTTGGCTATTCAGGTTCTTTTTTGGTTCCATATGAATTCAAAACAGTTTTTCTAGTTCTGTGACGAATGTTGTTGGTAGTTTTGGTAGGAATAGCAATAAGTCTGTAAATTGCTTTGGGCAGTATGACCATTTTAATAATATTGATTATTCCTATTCATGAGCCAGGGATGTTCTTCATTTGTTTGTGTCTTCTCTGATTTCTTTGAGCAGTGTTTTGTAATTCTCATTGTAGAGACTTGTCACCTACCGGGATAGCTGTGTTCCCAGGTATTTTATTCTTTTTGTAGCAGTTGTGAATGGGATTGCCTTCCTGATTTGACTCTCAGCTTGGCTGTTGGTATATAGGAATGCTAGTGATTTTTATACATTGATTTTGTGCCCTGAAATTTGCTGAAGTTGTTTATTGGCTGAAGGAGATTTTGGGCCAAGACTATGGGGTTTTCTAGACACAAAATTATGTCATCTTTAAACAGGGATAGTTTGACTTCCTCTCTTCCTATTGGATGCCATTTATTTCTTTCTCTTGCCTGATTGCTTTGGCTAGGACTTCCAATATTATGTTGAATAGGAGTGGTGAGAGAGGGCATCCTTGTTATGTGCAGCTTTTCAAGGGGAATGCTTCCAGCTTTTGCATATTCAGTATGATGTTGGCTATGGGTTTGTCATTATGGCTTATTATTTTCAGGTGTGTTCCTTCAATATCTAGTTTATTGAGAGTTTTTTTTTTAACATGAATGCATGTTAAATTTTATCAAAAGCCTTTTTTGCATCTATTGAGATAATCATGTGGTTTTTGTCTTTAGTTCTGTTTATGTGATGTATCACATTTATTGATTTGTGTATGTTGAACCTACCTTGCATCCCAGGGATAAAGCCTACTTGATTGTGGTGAACAAACTTTTTGATGTGCTGCTGGATTTGGTTTGCCAGTATTGTGTTGAGGATTTTTGCATAGATGTTCATCAAGGATATTGGCCTGAAGTTTTCTTTTTTTGTTGTTGTATCTTTGTCAGGTTTTGGTGCCAGGATGATGCTAGCTCATAGAATGAGTTACAGAGAGTCCCTTTTCCTCAATTTTTTTTTTTTGGAATAATTTCAGTAAGAATGGCATCAGTTTTTATTTGTACATCTGGTAGAATTCACCTGTGAGTCTATCTGGTCCTGGGCTTTTTTGGTTGATAGGCCATTTATTACTGCCTTAATTTCAGAGCTCATTATTGGTCTGTTCAGGGATTCAATTTATTTCTCATTCAGTTTTGGGAGGGTGTATGTGTCTAGGGATTTCTTCTAGATTGTCTAGTTTATATGCATAGAGATGTTCATAATATTCTCTGATGGCTGTTTGTATTTATGTGGGATCAGCGGTAATATCTCTCTTGTTGTTTCTGATTGTGTTTATCTGAATCTTCTCTCCTTTCCTCATTAGTCCAGCTAGTGGTCTATCTACTTCCTTTTTTTTGATGGAGTCTAGCTCTGTTGCCCAGGCTGGAGTATAGTGGCATGATCTCGGCTCACTGCAACCTCCACCTTCCGGGTTCAAGTGATTCTCCTGCCTCCGTCTCCCAAGTAGTTGGGATTATAGGTGAATGCCACCATGCCCAGCTAATTTTTGTATTTTTAGTAGAGATGGGGTTTCACTGTGTTGGTCAGGCTGGTCTCGAACTCCTGACCTCATGATCTGCCTGCCTTGGCATCCCAAACTGCTGGGATTACAAGTGTGAGCCACAGTGCCCAGCCATCTACTTCATTTTTTTTTTTTTTTAAGCTAGCTTCTGGATTAGTTGCTCTTTTGAATGGTTTTTCATGTCTCCATCTCCTTCAGTTCAGCTATAATTTTGGTTATTTCTTCTGCTACTTTTGAGATTTGTTCTTGGTTCTCTAGTTCTTTCAGTTGTGATGTTAGCTGTTAACTTGAGATCTTTCTAACTTTTTGATGTGGGCATTTAGTGCTATATTTTTTTCTGTTAACACAGCCTTATCTGTGTCCCAGAGATTCTGCTATGTTGTATCTTTGTTCTCATTAGTTTCAAAAGCTTCTTAATTTCTGCCTTAATTTCATTATTTACTCAAAAGTCATTCAGGAGCAGGTTATTCAATTTCCATGTAATTTTACGATTTTGAGTGAGTTTCTTAGTCTTGATTTCTAATTTGTGCTGTGATCTGAGAGACTGTTACAATTTCAGTTCTTTTGCATTTGCTGAGGAGTGTTTTACTTCCAATTATGTGATCAATTTTAGAGTATGTGCCATGTAGTGATGAGAAGAATGTATATTCTGTTGTTTTTGGGTAGAGTTCTATAGATATCTATCAGGTCCATTTGATCCAGTGCTGAGTTCAAGTTCTGAGTATCTTTGTTAATTTTCTGTCTTAATGATCTGTCTAATATTGTCAATGGGTGTTAAAGTCTCCCGCTATTACTGCGTGGGAGTCTATGTCTCTGTGAAGGTCTCTAAGCACTTGCTTTATGAATCTAGGTGCTCGTGTGTTGGGTGCATATACATTTAGGATAGTTAGAACTTGTTGAATTCAACCCTTTCCCTTATGTAATGCTCTTGTCTTTTTTTGATCTTTGTTGGTTGAATGTCTGTTTTGTCAGAAGCTAGTATTGTAATGCCTGCTTTTTTTGTGTTTTCCATTTGCTTGGTCGATTTTCCTATATCCCTTTATTTTGAGCCTAAGTGTGTCATTGCACGTGAGATGGGTCCCTTGAAGACAGCATACCAATGGGGGCCTGGGTTCTTCATCCAGCTTGTCACTCTGTGCCTTTTCATTGAAGCATTTAGCCCATTTACATTTAAGGTTAATATTGATACATGTGGATTTGATTCTGTCATCATGATGTTAGCTGGTTATTTTGCAGACTTGTTTATGTGGTTGCTTTATAGTGTCACTGGTCTGTGTACTTGAGTGTTTTTTTGTAGTGGTTGGTAACAGTTTTTCCTTTCCATATTTAGTACTTTCTTTAGGAGTTCTTGTGAGGCAGGTCTGGTGGTAACAAATTCCCTCAGCATTTGCTTGTCTAAAAAGGATCTTGGGCCAGATGTGGTGGCTCATGCTTGTAATCCCAGCACTTTGGGAGGCTGAGGTGGGTGGATCACCTGAGGTCAGGAGTTCGAGACTAACCTGGCCAACAAGGTGAAGCCCCATCTCTACTAAAAATACAAAAATTAGCCAAGTGTGGTGGCACATGCCTGTAATCCCAGCTATTTGGGAGGAAGAGGCAGGAAAATCACTTGAACCCGGGAGGTGGAGGTTGCAGTAAGCCAAGATCATGCCATTGCACTCCAGCCTGGGCGACAGAATGAGACTTGTTCTAAAAAAAAAAAAAAAAAAAAAAAAGACCTTGTTTCTCCTTTGCTTATGAAGCTCAGTTTGGCCAGAGATGAAATTCTGGGTTGGAATTTCTTTAATAATGTTGAATATTGGCCTCCAATCTCTTCTGGCTTGTAAGATTTCAGCTGAGAGGTTTGCTACTATTCTGATGGGTTTCCCTTTGTCAATGACCTGGACTTTCTCTATAGCTGCCTTTAACATTTTTTCTTTCATTTTGACCTTGGAGAATCTGATGATTATATGTCTTGGGGATGATCTTGTAGAGTATCTTACTAGGGTTCTCTGCATTTCCTGAATTTGAATGTTGGCTTCTCTAGCTAGGTTGGGGAAGTTCTAATGGATGATATTCTGAAATATGTTTTCCAAGTTGGTTCCATTCTCCCCATTTCTTTCAGGTACACCAATCAGCTGTAGATTTAGTTTATTTACATAATACCATATTTCTTGGAGGTTTCATTCATTCATTTTCATCTTTTTTTCTCTATTCTTGTCTGCCTGTCTTATTTCAGAAAGCCAGTCTTCAAGCTCTGAGAGTCTTTCCTTCACTTGATCTATTCTGCTATTAATACTTGTGATTGCATTAGGAAATTCTTTTAGTGTGTTTTTCAGCTCTATCAGGTTGGTTACGTTCTCTGTACCGTCAATTTTGTCTGTCAGCTCCTGCAATGTTTTATCGTGATTTTTAGCTTCCTTGCATTGAATAACAGTGTACTCCGATAACTCAATGAACTTCATTCTCATCCATATTCTAAGTTCTACTTCTGTCATTTTAGCCATCTCAGCCTCAGCCTAGTTCTGAACCCTTGCTGGAGAGGTGATGTGGTGAAACAAAGGCACTCTGGATTTTTGAGTTTTTAGTGTTCTTTCTTATGCTGATTCCTTTTCATCTTTGTGCACTTATCTACCTTCAATCTTTGAGTTTGTTGACCTTTGAATTTTTTTTTCTTTTATCCTATTTGATGACCTTGAGGGTTTGATTGTGGAATAAGGTGGATTCAGCCTAATAGATTCATTTCTGGGAGATTTTAGGGGGCCAGTCCTCAGCTCTCTAGGAGCTGTTCTAACTCTAGGAGAATTGTATTGGGCTCTGACTTTGTTCTCTGGCTCCTCAAGGCTTGGAGTCCACTGCGATGGGGGGACCAAAGTGCAGCAGCTGCAGCAGAGTGTTAGCAGATGCCAGGGTGCCTGCCTTCCTGCAGGCATTTACCACAGTGGCAGAGGAAAGGAAGCTGGGGAGGGGGGAAAGCGGGGGTGTGGAGGGGCCTGCTGAAGACTCTGTGTGCTGTTGCATTGGAGGTAGTGGGTGGTGGTGGCTTGGGGCGGAGTGCTGGCCAGTGCAAGTCTAGGTGCCTTCTCTTTGCCCCACAAAGAGGAGTGATCACTCAAGGTGTGGAAAGATTACCTGTTCTCTGTGCAGTGTTATTGCAGGGGTGGAGTGCTGGCAGGGGTGGGGCTTGCTGGCTCCGAGCCTGCCAAGGTTCTATCTGCAATGGCAGTCAGTGGGGGTAGGAGGCCATACTGCATTCCTGTGTGCTGCTAGGGCAAGTAAAGCAAAACCTGGTTGTGCAGACATGCACCAGCAAAGTGATGTGGGGAGTTGCCATGGGCTCAGGAAAGGAATGTGTAGTCTCGTATGTGGCCATAGGGGCCACGTCACTGGAGCTCTCCACTGCTCAGGCATGGTCCACCAGTGTAGAAGCTATGGTATGGGTCCCCAGGGAACCCAAGACTGCCCTATAAGCAGGTGTGGCAAGGCTAGGGCCCAAGGAGAGGCCAGCAGACCAAGGAATGCTCAGGTCGAACCAACCCTGTCTGATATGCAAGACTGCCCTGCAGAGATCGGGCCCAACAGCTCCCCTATGGCTAAAGTCTCTTATGGGAGCGAGTCGAGCCTAGGGAGATGGACATCCCTGGTCATGCTCCACTACAGATGCCCCCACACCAAGCCCTCTGGGCTCCACATCAGCTGGCTTGCTGTCCTATCACTCTGCTTGTGGCCTAAGGGCCCCACCCCAAAGAGATGCAGGTGAGCAATTGCTCAGTGCAATTAACTCAGGATGAAGGGTCTGTGCTGTGGGCCCAAGCCAGGGGTTCCCTGTCTAGTGATGAGCAGTGGAAGGTGTGTGGGACCCGTGGGAGATAGACTAGCCTCCTCTCCTTCGGTAGACTACAGCTTATTGGAGGTGCGGATAAAGCACTTAGGGTCTTTGCTCCTTTGTTAGTCCAAGGGTGGCAAGGAAAGTTCCATCGTAGAAGCAGTAGCAGAGAGGCTTTCAGTTGCTCCTGGAGGCTCTGTCCAGGGAGTTGCTGAGTTGCTACTCCTTCGTTAGGTGGGAGGTGGCTAGAGGCCCAGGCCTGGAGGACCTGTGAAGGAGATAGGGGAACGAGCACCCATGTAACAGTCTGGCCACTTTTCTATAGGGCTGTTTCAGTATGCTGGGGGGTTCGCTCCAGTCCCTAGTCACCTCGGATTTTCCAGGACCTGGAGGTATCACCAGTGAAGGCTGCAAAACAGCAGAGACAGCAGCCTGCCCCTCCCTCTGGGATCTTGGTCCCAGGGAGGTATGGAGCTGTTGCTGGCCTGAATGCATCTGTAGGAGGTGGCTGGAGACCCTGGTTGGGAGATCTTGCTCAGTGAGGAGGAATGGGATTGGGGGTCTGCTTATGAAAGTAGTCTGGCCATATTTTCATAGAGCAGATGTGCTGTTCTGGGGGTTCACTTCAGTCTCTGGTCACCTCAGATGCTCCAAAACCCAAAGGCTGGAACAGTTAAGTTGCCCATATAGTAAAGATGGCAGCCCACCTTTCCCCCTGGGAGCTCCATATCAGGGAGGCACAATGCTGCTACCGTGGCTGGCTGGAATTCCAAGCAAGTGGATCTTATCCTGTGAGGCGCCATGGAAGTGGGGCCTGCAGACCGTGGCTGCTCAGCCCCCTGGATTCAGCCTCTTCCCAGAGATATGTTACGGGGATCTAACCTCCTGCTTTGCCAGAGTTGCAGCTACTTTTGCCAGGAAGCCTGAAGAGCATGAATATCTGAAGCTCCCAGGCATCTGTGCATGCCTGAGCAGCTGCTCTGCTGAGACTCCATGGGACTCTATGTGTCAGACTGAAGGCCCTGGTGGAATGGGTTTCCTGACCTGACGGTTGCAAAGATTTGTGAGAGAAGTGTAGATTCCCAGGGTCACACATTTACTTATTGCTTCCCTGGGTTAGGGGAGGTTCCCTTGGCTCCCTGTCTCTCCTGGGTGGGCCATCATCCTGCCTCCTTTTCCCCCATTCTCTGTGGGTTGAGTTGTTTCCTTGATTAGTCCTAATGTGTGTTCCTGGATGTTTCATTTGAAGGTGCTGTATTTACTCGCCACTTCTGTTCCTCTCCATGAGAGCCACGCACACTAGCTCCTTCTAGTCAGCCATCTAATTTAGCAAATATTAAGTGACCTCTGTATACCAGGCATTATACCATGCATGGAGATACAATGAGGAGCAAGACAAATAGGCTCTCTTCCCTTACTGAGCTCACATCCATGAAGGGGAGAAAGCCTTTAAAAATAATGAGAAAACAGACAAACAAACAACCCAATTCTATCTTGTATCAAGTGCTATGAAACCAGTATATTAAGGATATGTGATAGTGGGAAACTGGGAAGGGGCTTCTTTGAGCAGGTGATCATGGATGGATTCTCCAGGAAGCTGGCATTTAAACTGAAGCTTCATGGGCAAGAATTACCAGCTAGGCAAAGAGCAGCAGACTTGCTGGAAAGTTAGATACCACTACTTAGTCTCCCTTCCCGTGCTTAACACAGTTTGTATATGTGGGTCAGGAAGCATTGTTCCCTGTTCAAGATGGTTAGAGCTTCCAGGGTTAGAGACAAGAAGCACCCTAGGTAGCCTGTTATTACCAATAATGAGTGGTGATTGGAAAGGATTTTACAGGGATAGGGGATTCTTGAGGAAAAAAAAGGTCTTCAATAGTACTGAAACAATGTCAAAGAAAACCAAATAAATGTGGGGAATGGAAAAATATGCGGGGAATGCAAAAATATGTGGGGAATGCAAAAACAGCCACACTAGTTTAGCTAAGATTTCCAAGTGTTCAGGCACAAGTCACTCCCTCCTCGCTCGGTGCAGTGGATACGTGTATTTGCCCATTCTCTGTGTGTGTCTATAATGACTATGACAAAGTCAGTGCCTACAGGAGGGATGGTGGGTAATATATGAGTAAAGGGGCTGGGGGACTGGAGCATGCATGATTGATTTAAAGGGAATGCCACTGCTGAGCTACAGGAGATTCAGGAATACTGTCTAGTGTGGTCATATGTAATAATTTTTCAAGACAAGCTAAATATCTGGATTTCCATGTGAAGCTTCCTCATTTCTAAATGTTAACAACTAATTACAAAAACACTTTGCAGATGAAGAAAAATATTCTTCTGTGAACTGTGTGAGCCACTGGTTGCAGTATCAGCTCAGGACTGAAAACAATGTGAAGAGGCTTATTTCTCCCACTGTGATCTCCCCAGCCTTACACAGGGCTTGGCACCTAGATGTCTCTAATGTGCCCAGCTAAGTTGCTACCTGTGTACCCCTTCCTCTGACCACTGTCATAGCCAGCTTGCCCAGACATAGTCTTCTATTGTCTGAAGTCTTATAAAACATAAATTTAACAAAAGAGTCAGTATAATTATTTTTTTCCTTTTTTGGAGGAAGAAATTCTAGTATCTGATTTCTCTCTAATTCAAGCATGTACCCCCAGTACTTCCAGGCCTCTCTGAGTCAGACTGAGCTTTCTAATGGAGTCCAGCCTTTTCTTTAAAACAGCCATCACGAAGCAGTTATTTTTTTTCCCCTCAGCCTGGCATCTCAGAGTGTTTTTACCAAATGTCTAATTAATTAACCCTAATTAATTGAAATTTAAAATTGCTTTCCAAATCCACAGTAATGTAAAGCTGTCTTCTCTCTCTTGTCGGAAGATTCAGTAGAAAGTCCTACATTACCATTAAGAACATAATATTCTTAAAGCATGCCTCTCATGAAGACTATGAAATTGTTCAAAGGAAAAATCAGGAGAAATTGTCTCTATCAAGTGGCACAAAGCTATTTAGATAGAATTACTTTGTCAAGCCAGCTTTGAGCTAAGTTATTCTTTTGTAGATTTTGGTTTTGCTTTGAGCAGTTTTTTACCCCCCTCCCCAACGATTCTTGTAAAAAAAAATATCAATATTTTCTGGAAGCACAGAGATGAGAGCCTTTGGAGAACTCTGCCTCCTGTTTGCTACAAAAACATTAATAAATGTCACCAGCAAAGTTGGGTACCAGGGGAAACTGGACGACCTCACGAATATATTTTCTAAAAAGCTTAAAATGTCCATCTTGTATATTATTAGTCTCTTATAGAGTCTAAGAGCTATTGATCCCTTCAACTGCTGCAAAAAGCAATTTAAATGCACCCAAAGCTCTAAGTATATGTGTATGGACAGAGCAGGCCTGTTCAAGATGGCTTCTAAATGTCCCCTTTTTCAAAGTGAAGAGCCAGGCTGCAGTAAACAGTACCCCATGGGTAGGGTAGATGGTATCAACGAGTCTATCATAGCAAAATTAAAGGAAATCAGTGATGTCTTTGCTTAAAATGGTATCATTTTACAGCCCTGTTAAGATTCATCTGCTGATAAAAAAATTGATTTTTTAAAAATTCATTGAGCATCAATGCCGGGCTATCCCCTGGTCTTCTAAAGGGGCAATTGTCTGAAACCATGAGCCATTGTCCTCCGTCCACATGTACTCAATCGTAGGTCCAGTGCTGCAGAGCAGCACAAAGCAGGAGGAGGGAATAGGTGAGACACTGTGGACAGGGATCCTGGTGTTTCAGGGTGTTAAGTGACACATTCATATCTCTGTCAAAGACCTTCTAGGGGATGCTGGATCACCTGCTTCACCTGCTTTCTGCAGTTTCCCCCTGGAAAAAATGTTCTTTCCTTGTTTGCTGGGGATAGTAGGAGAGGGACTAATAAACATTATCTGTGATTAGTGATGTACTTTGTCAAAGTGAGGCAACTGTAGATCTGAGCCCACAATTTCCACGACGAAGAATACTTCTGTCCTTCAGAAATTTTAAAGCACTTTGAAGCAATTGGTGCCAGTGATTGTTGCTGCCACCTGGAACTGTCAAAAGCCTTCAGCAGCTCTCAGGCCCAGGAACTGAAGCCCCTTCTATTACCATTTTCTTATTCATCCTAAGACATCTTAACAATGATGCACGTCTAGGCCGTCTTCTTGAGTGCCCAGGAGCATGAAAAAATCAGAGTTACCTCATACCACAGTATGAGATGCAGCAGAGGGAAGAGTACAAAGGACTCAGAAGATCTGTTCCTCAGTTCCAGCCTACTGCTAACTAGCTGTGCTAACTTGGCTGGGCCGTTGACCTCGTGGAGTTTCAGGTTTCTCTATCTGTAAAAATGGAGATTATAATGGTAAAATTACATACACTGTTAAAAGCATTTTGTAAGCTATAAACAGAAAAATAAATCTGTAAGATACGTTAACAACAAGCAAATATTTTACCTTTGGGAAGAGTTTTCTCCTTGTTCCAACTGGATCTCTCATGCCTTTCATGATCCATCACTGATCCTAGCTCAGCTTTCTATTCTAAATTTTCCTCATAAACCCTCTCACTTCTCTGACCCCAGTTTGAATATGAAAACTTTTAAATGCTAATCTCTTTTTTTTTAAGCAGGATGAAAATCCTTTGGTTTTTCTCCAGCTTCTGTCTTAACCAAGCAACTGTTCTAACCATTGCTGAAAACACTTGCAGAAACAGGCTGGGCACGGTGGCTCAGCGCTTTCAGAAGCCGAGGGAGGAGGATCACTTGAGGCCAGGAGTTTGAGGTCAGCCTGGGCAACATAGTGAGATCCTATCTTTACAAAAAAAATAATTAAAAAATTATCTGGGTGTGGTGGTGTATGCCTGTAGTTTCAGCTTTTTGAGAGGCTAGGCAGGAGGATCGCTTGAACACAGGAGTTTGAGGCTGCAGTGAGCTGTGATTGCACCATTGCACTCCAGCCTGGGTGACAGAGTAAGCTCCTATCTCAAAAAAAAAAAAAAAAAAAAAAAAAAATCCAGAAACAGACTTGGGATCTATTGCAGATACATTGAGGTATTCTACATTTTTTTTAAAAAGTGCTAGGTTAGTAGCCAGGTGGTTTTACTTTGTACCCTTATACCAGCTTCTTTGTCATATGATAGATTCTTCCTTACTGATTGTTACTGTGCTGCCTTTGTATTTGCTGCAGCTTTGATGGGGTTTGAACAGCAGCAGCACAGCCATGTGAAATCTCACAGGTGATACTGTAGGGCTGGGCAAAGTCCACTCAGGTTCCCAAAAGTTCATTGCTGGAACAGGGCAGTACTTCCTTTTTGTAAGAGGGCTTCTAGTTTTCTAATACTCTCATGGGCACACTCAGCGTAAGCAGGCTTTATTCTAGATGATCAAGTGATGTGGAAAACTGCACACTCCGAATTGCTCAGGTCCTGACTGGTGGTTGGCAAGGATAAAGCCATTTGTTATTCTGCCCTAGCATTCTAGTGTTGTTGGCCTCAGAAAGAGTTGGGGTCTCCCATGAATTCTTCTAATTTTCTATTATTTATTAATTCATGAAGACATTTTTGAACATAGATATTTTCTAGGCTGCATTACTCCCATAGGGTAACAAATGTTGAGCTACATTTCTGAAATGCCAATCTGATTGTGTTATTTCAATCCTTAAAAGCTCAAATGACTCAGCCACTCGTAAACCTCTTGGTGTTGCTTTCAAAGGCTCTTCTCACCTGGGATGGAGCCCAACTTGCTAATTCCCATTTAGTCCCTCACATATCTCTTAATAGACCACCTGTTTTCATATCTCCGTATATTTTTAATGCTCTTTTTCTGTATCTGAAATATTATTTTCCACTTTGCCTGATGACATAATTGTATTCATTCTTCAAATCCCAGATCAAATGTCACTTCCACTGTGAAGTCCAGTGACCCTTTTCTCTCATTAGGACATGCTTCAAATAATGCAATCATGCCTAGTTTTCTGTAGTTTTCTCTCTTTGATTAAATTTCCCATCAAGGGCAGAACCACATCCTATTTATCTAGGTATTCTGAGAGCCGAGTTGAATGCTTGGCATATAGTAGGTGCTCAATAACTCTTCAGGAGAATGAAATAATGAAAAATCAAATATTGACAAACACTGATACTGGTTTCAGTTTTATATTTTTAAGATTCAGTAGGTCATGCTTCACATGTATACACTTTACAGTTGATAGATACTTTATATGACACCATCTTTTAAACTCTAGTCTTTTAAAGGATTCAAAACACATCCCCTCTCGACATTTTTTTCTTTCCACGTGGTTCTAATCTTCCTGATTCATTTTCATATATTGCATCCTGTTGATAATTTTTGTTGTTTTCTCTGGAGCTTTGCAGTGTTACTTCATTGTTTATAAAATGAGGACAGGTTAGGCAGCCCCAGCTGAATCCAGGATTCCAAGAGTGGAATATTTATGGCTTGTACAAGGGTGCAGCAATGTTTTCTGTCTTATTTCAATATCTTCTTGCCCCTAAAGGTCATAGGCTTTCTTCAGGGAATGATTACAATGTCTTCTAAATCCTCTTATCAAGTTCTCATGATCACTAAGAGCTTTGTGTCCTTTGAGTATAGGTAGATTTTTTTTTTCTCTTAAGTCATCGCTTTATTCTTGTTCATGTCAAAATAGACCTGCACCTCTTTACCTCCACTTGGTTTCTCCTGATGTTTTTTGGAAGTACATCGCAGGAGTTTTCTCTTCCCATGTGGATAAATTCTCTGTTATCTGCAAACTTGAAAATTTAACTGGATATTCCCTCTTGTTCTTCATTGGCCAAAACTTTAAATATCAGTGATCAAGAATCTAATATCTTGGTGATCCTACTCTTAGCATTCTGTCATAGCATGCCCATTTATTTTAATCCTTTCATTCCTGGATCGATGCCAGTTCCCTAGCTACGAAGAAAAAATATCTCTTTAATTCTGTGACGTTGTTAGGAAAAAAATATCACTTAGTATATAATTTAGTCAAAGGCTTTTTGAAAGTAGAAATAATTGCATCCTTTAATTCTCTTTTCCCAAGTTCTAATTTATTTGTTCAGAAACACCACAAGAATGAGATAGCTGGACCCAGCTGGATGAAGAGTGGATCCAGCTGCCAGTATGACCAGAAATGCATTGATCAGTAGAAAGGACAGGAAAAAGGAGGCCAAGGAGAGGAAAAGGTAAAGCAGGGAGGCCTAGAGTTTGTAGAGAATAGAGAAAGTGAGTGAGGTTGACCAGGAGACAAATAAGGTAAACCAGCGTCTGAGGAAGACGGTGCCCATGGGAGCAAGCCTGATAGAAACTGACAAACAGCTCAAAGATAGGGGGTAGATACAAGCAGTGGGAAGGAAGGACCTGGGACAGTGGCTATTTTCTGCCTCAACTGCATGGATCTCTAAGGTTGACTTCTGAAGGTACAGAATTCTTAAATAAGGCTTTTCTTTTGCTAAAACTGTGCTACCGTATTTTAACTTTACTTCATTCCCTGTTGAATGATTCTACCTTTTATTATATAGCCAATAGATGCTTAGTAGATACCTATGATTCATAGATCATTGCAGAAAGCAGAAGAGATGCAGAGAATGAAGTTCTCCTCTGCCCTTAAGGATCTCACAATCTAGCAGGGAGGATAAGACAAATCGTCACAAAAGTTGAATATAAAATACACCAGAATAAATGCCACAAGAAAGGCAAAATCAAAACGTCTCATATGCTGGCATTTCTGTTTAGAAAGTCCTTTCTACCATTACCATCTCTGACTGTCAAAATATGGCTTACCTTTCCAAATTAGCTCAAATGCCACCCATCCTCTGAAATCTTTTCTGATTACCTCCCTCCATAGCCTCTTGTTTATACCTTTTGTTTATATGCTATGTGCTGGGGAAGTACAAGGATTCCAATTTCCTGTATGAACATGACGGCCATTCATCCTGGATATTTTTGGACAGTTTGAATTTTATGTAAATATATATTTTAATATAATGAATTGAATATTTATATGATTTAATATTTCAACCTTGACACTTGATAGACTACATGTTCTGACCTGATCTTTGGTTTGGACAACGTGGTCATTGTGGCGAGAGGCAGATCTCACGTTCACCTAATATGACTACTCTACCAGTATTTACAATTGGGATCCATTCTTATTCACTGGGCAAAATCTGTTCTGACAGGACAGAGCCCATGTCATATAAGTTAACTATTTTGAATATCACTCTAGGCATATGACAGTCATGAAGTATAGATTGGGTTCAAAAAAGTAGAAACTTATACACTAGGTTAGAGAATAGAGGCTGTGAAGGGTTTTGTAGTGCCATGAATGGTTTTGTACATGTCTGCTTAGATAAAATGATTCAGTGGTCTGTAAACTCAAAAAGCCCTTAGCAACCTAGCCTTTCGTTTGCATTTATGTATGTTCATTTATTCTGTTCAACAAGTACTTATTGAATCCCTATGTGGGAAATACTGCTGTTTACCAAAATCAACTTCCTCCTCCTGGGCACAGCTATATGTTTTTCCACCTTCTCTGCGATTAGGTGTAGTCACGTGACTAGACTGTAAAATGATATAACTGAAATGGGGAAGCCCACTGAGTGACCTTGAAAACCGTTTAATATGGCAAAGTGGCCATCCTCCTGGATCATGAGTAACTATAGACCAGTGTGCCCTCAACTCCCACCTACCAACATGGAACAGTTAGTGAGCAGAAATTAAACTTCTATTTTACTAAGCAATTAAGTGCTTGGATCGATTTATTATTGTAGCCTAGCTATATCAATTAGGATAAGCTAGGTTATAATGTGGTTTCTTAAAAACCCAGCGGTTTAAACCACAAATGTTTCTTACTCATATTACTTGATCATTGAAGGTTGTCTGAGGAATCTTCTCCACTATGTACCCACTTTGTTACCCTCTCTCTGGGACCCAGACTAATGGAGCAGCCACCGTCTGCATTATTACTGGTCAGTCTGATACAGAGAAAAGAGTCCTGGAGAGTCTTACATCAGCCATTGCACAATCAGCCTGAGAGTCACACACGTCATTCCTCACCCACAACTCATTGGACAGATTTGGTCATATGACCCCAATCAAGGACAGAAAGTACAATCTTACTGTGCATTTAGAGTATCATTAAAGACCACCACACCAGCCTAACTGGTCTAAAATAGCCTATTATGTGCTAGACTCTATGCTAGATGTTGGCATTTAAAGATCAATATGTCATGGCCCCAAATTTATAATTTTACAATACATTGTTTTTTTTTCTTTTTTCTTTTTTTTTTTTTTTAGTTATACTTTAAGTTCTAGGGTACATGTGCACAATGTGCAGGTTTGTTACGTATGTATACATGTGCCATGTTGGTGTGCTGCACCCATAAACTCGTCATTTACATTAGGTATATCTCCTAATGCTTTCCCTCCCCCCTCCCCCCACCCCACGACAGGCCCCAGTGTGTGATGTTCCCCTTCCTGTGTCCAAGTGTTCTCGTTGTTTAATTGCCATCTATGAGTGAGAACATGCGGTGTTTGGTTTTTTTGTCCTTGCGATAGTTTGCTGAGAACGTTTTTTTTTTTTCTAACCTTGTGGATGGATACCATCCAAATTCGTTGATTTTTCTATAATATTTTTGAAACAGAGTACATGTATTATTAATTAACTCATTTATCCCATCAATAATACATATTGTCTCCATTTACTACATATACCTCTCTAGGAACAATTATACAGTTGGCATGGATCTTTCCCTCAAAGAAATCAGAGTGTAGGAAATGGTTTGTTCTCATACCTCCGACCTATCTCTATTATATGTCTCCTGGGCCATTTTCTCAATAAAACCAAGGCAGACTTCATTTTGTTGCTTTGCTCTTACCATGTGGGAGTTGAGGATTAAGCTGGCAGAATGGGGCCTCTCCTGCCCATGGCACAGAGACAACTTTCCTGCTGAACCTCTACCATTTGGTTCTTAGGCCCTTGGCTTGTCTTGAGGTCCTGTGAATCAGTTCACACATGACATGGGCCTCCACCAATACACCAGAGAAACAAAAGGTAGGGCAAGGGCTGAGAACCATGTATGTTGCTCAAACTCATCCTTCTTCAGGTGCCAAGGCTCTATTTATTTTGGAGAACTTTGTTCACTTGAAAATTTCTTTGAAAGGTAATAAAGCAATGGTTTTAAAATTGTATTCTACAGTGCCAAAGGATTAAGAGGAAGGTGTTCCAGAGACAGCTCAAGCAAGAAGCTCCACACCTTCTGCCTCAGTTTCAGCCAAAGCAGCTTTATTACTGACGGATTTATGTATTGGAATTGTACATATGAGTCTATTGTTAGAAAGGTTTCATTACTTTAAAAGATTAGATGATCTAATGAATTGCTATTTCAAAACATTGCTGGGAGCCCAAGAGAATTAACAAAGTCACCTCCCTCACAGATCCCAGACCAAGAAATCTGGAAGGGATTCCGAATCATACAGCCTCTTTCGAGTGAGTAATTCACTAGGACATTAGGAAAGTGCACAAAGTCTCATAGACTGTACCCCATCCCCTCAAGACCCTGAGTTCCCTAAAGGAAACTTTTAGCCCCGTGCTTTGCACACAGTCAAAGACATAAGAGTGACTGTAGAATGAGCAAAGGAATGACTCAGGATTAGCCTTTTGTATAATGCATATAAAAATCAAAGCTCAGAGTGGTGAAGGTTTTGGCCCAAGGTCATAAAGGAAAAACAATGGCAAAGTTAGGATAAAACTCTGGGATTTTTTACACTGGATTGTGCCCCATTGACTCTTCAACAGCAATAAAAATGTCCAAAGTCAGCTGGGCGCGGTGGCTCATGCCTGTAATCCCAGCACTTTGGGAGGCCGAGGTGGGTGGATCACGAGGTCAGGAGATGGAGACCATCCTGGCTAACACGGTGAAACCCCATCTCTACTAAAAATACAAAAAAAAAAAAAAAAAAAAAAATAGCCAGGCATGGTGGTGGGCACCTGTAGTCCCAGCTACTTGGGAGACTGAAGCAGGAGAATAGCATGAACCCAGGAGGTGGAGCTTGCAGTGAGCCGTGATCATGCCACTGCACTCCAGCCTGGGTGACAGAGTGAGACTCCGTCTCAAAAAAAAAAAAAAAAAAAAAAGTCCAAAGTCAACTTCTCACTTCCTAACCTTTGCTCTGTCTCCAAACTCATCCTAAAGATGTAACACAGAGACAGTGCAAGTTCCAATTCAAATGATCAATGGTTTTTTCTTTCTATTTCCATTAGCACAAGATTTGAAAGAAGTCCCCCCCTTTTTTGTCCTCCCTTCATCCCTTTAGCTCCCACAAGGGCAGGGGTAGACGCTGTCCAGCAGCAGTGATCTGTGGGTGTTGCTGAGCTGAGGACAGAGGAGACAGTTTAAGGAAGACGAAGCCTGGCTAAGGTTAGGCTCTTCCAGTTTCTCCTTCCTTTGTGCCTTGCCTTTTTTTGCATCACTGATGTTATTTATGGAATGCCAGCATGTTTCTTTTTTTAATTAAAAAGAGGAAATATCGAGTCTCGTATAAGAACAAGAGTGATGACTCAATAGGGCTGCTCAGTGCCAAATTACTTCCTGTAATCGCATGTGTAGCAGTGTTTCTTACAGAAGCAGGCTTTGGGGCTCCTGGTGAGATTGCACCCGGGCTGCCCACCTGCCCAAGTGACTCATTCCTAACAGCCCAGGATGTCTCACACATTTAGTCATAAACTCTGGCCTGATGAAACCAAGCTTACCCAATCTTGCTGATCTATAAGCAGGGAAGGGGGATAAGCTAGCAGGGATAATATAATTTTTGGTTGAGTCTTCTTTCAGGTAAAATATTAGGTTTTTCAGGCATTGTAACATATCAGAGGATTATTATTTTTAATAATATAAATCACCTTGAAACATATCTATTTTAATTTCTTCCTGTTACTGGGAAGGAAACTAAGACCTAAGTCAATTTGGAGAGTATTTGACTATCTACTATATAGAAAGGATTGTGCTCAGCCTTCGTGGGCCAAATGACCTTTCAAGGTCCACAACATATGGGTGACAAACAGAATTAATTGCTAAATATCCTCATTCCCATACAAATCTCCCTTCCACCATATGAATCTAAAGTTTGGGTTATTGTCAGAACTATCTTGCCAGTCTAGAAATTCTAGACTGATATGTGAATGAGTATGTGTGTGTGAATGTGTCTGTGTGTGTGTGTGTGTGTTAGCTATGTGCCTGTAGCTAGGAGAGGTATATTGCAATCCAAACTGGAAACAGTAGACATAGAAGGCAGCATGTCAGAACTAGAAGACATGCCCTTTGGATTTATAGAAACCTAGTTGTCAATTTTGGTCCTTCCAACTACCATGTAACCACGGCTCAGTTTCAAATCATGTTGAGCCTTACTTTTGTCCTATAAAAATATACAGTAAAATAGGTTTGATGTTTACCTAAAAAGAGTATATGCAAAGTATATTAATCTTCCTTTTTGTTTTCTTATGCTTTGACATCTTGGGGACTTGCTGGTCCTGGAGGGACTGTTCTGTAACCCATGACTTTAATCCAGTCACCTCTATTCTATTAGGCTCTCACATTCCTGGCTACTATCTCTGTTCTAATCACCCTGGGGCCAGATACCAGACTAACAGGAACAGTCCTTCTTCCCCAGAACCTATTAAAATTATTCAGATGGGCCAATCCTAAGCATCCTTATCCTGCCTCACATATTTCTTCCCACGGAAACCACAATAAAGGCTTTTGCCCACGTTTTCCCTTCATTCCCTCTGCCTCCTGAGCTACCTTGGTGCCTTCCTGTATGTCTCCTTCCCCACCTGTCCCTACCCCTTAATGTGGCATGCGCCTTCTTTGGGATCTGTGAGTAGCAAACTCTTTCCACTGGTAGTCATCTCCCGATCTGTTGATGTCGCCATACCTGAATGATAATATAACCTATATTCAAAAGCGGAGTACTGACAAAGCACTTCATACTTAAAGGTTCTCAAATTCTTCCATGTAACATAATGAATTAATGACTGCCTATGTGTGAAGTTTTTGAGTATACAGATATGAATAATACCCACTTTCAGCTTTCAAGGGAGTACTGAAAATAGCATCCTATCAGAAGTGTGGGTGGGGTATGGAAATGTTTCTATGACAGATCGAGGACATCAAATGACCTGCTTCAGGACACACACCAATTCAGAGTTTTCTGACCACCAGCCCAGGATTTGGCTTTCAGTGGGATCTACGGCTTCTTTGAGTAAGACTTTGGATTTTGACCTTGGCCTGTCTGCAGCCAAAAGTATGCTTGGTTGCCCCAGAAACAGTCCATGTTAGCCTCCACCTCCTACTCTGGGGTTTTGTTCAAGTGGTACTTAGACAAAATATTCATTTCTTCTTTGGCCTCCATTCTACATTCCATATTCATTTATTTTCAATAAACAGTTTCAGATTCCTCATTTTTCCCCCTAAAGCTTACAAATAAATTTTTCTGTCTTGCCTTTCTTGCTGCATTTACATAAAAGCCACGCTGAAAAATTTATAGCAGTAATGGAAATCTTGGGGAAAACAAAATGCTCTGAGAACAAATGGCTGCTTTAACCCTTTGCTAAAGAGCAATGAGTGCCAGGCTTGCAGTGCCACAGGGCAAACAATTCCATGGGGAAGAAACACACCTGAAGATACCCAGCTTACCTATAAAATGCCAATAATGGAATCAATTGGAGGAGGGATCCTTATGACTTTATTCATCAAATTCTTTAAGTCTATATTCTCTTATTACAGAAATAAAAGTGAATTTAATTGCTAAGTTTTGAAGTAGTTGTGTAAATTCTATGAAAGTTTACTGTTTGAAAATATTGGCAGGGTAGAGTACAGCTTAAAGTAAAATATGATGTCATGGAAAATCTGAATAGCAATATTTTATAAGGATTACAACTTAACCGCTTGAAAATATATTGCATACAAAAGAAAAGACAATAATTCCTCCTATTATCCAATAAACATTTAAGTATCTACTATGAGTATCTACTATGTGTCTGTACCTTGGGATAGAGAGAATCCAGTGCACTCTTTGCCTCCAAGGAATATCCAGCTTGGTGTTCATTAATAGAAAATTGCTGCTAATAAGCCAAATAGGTTAGTAAAAATAGGTTTTTATCACATAATGTAGCATAAACATGAAAATACTTGAGCACATGAGAATTAATTTCTAAATGCCTGTAAGTAAAATTTTTAATTTATGGTCTGTTTAGTTTACAATGGTTTCATATTTTAGGTTGAATCCTCATTCACTGAGAGACATGATTCAAACCTTGTAGTCAATCCAATCACACACATGTAAACTACCATGACAGAATTGCCGCAAGTCCATGTTAGGAAAGATGGACTCATTTAGGCTTTGCTGACAGCCCTGGCATTGTTACTTCCAGGCCCTAAGAAGGAACATAAGCAGTCTCTTGTCATTTAGTCACTTAAAGCATCCTTTTCTTTGGGCAAATGGAATGGGTAGATGTGAAGATTTTTAAACTCTGAAAGAGATATGAAATAAAGGCTTCTAGCTCCTCGGCCAAAAATTTTCAGATTGTTAAAAAAAGAAAAATTGCTGATGTTTAGGACTTTCCAGCTTAGTTGCCTCAATCTTCCATCTTTTCCTCTGCACTTCCCCACTCAATACCCCAACTTTTAACTCTGTGTTCGATATAATCTGACAAATTATCTGCCCTCACTGGAGATAGTTGCTGGCACCTAATGTGCTGTGTGTATAGGGTGCGGCAGGATTTGAGTGCTGTCCTTCCTCTTCCACTGTTTAGATGAATTCAGACTTTACCTGGAGGCCTAGGTTGGGGATCAACTTCAGCATGTACTAAGGAGCAGGCCAGCTAGGCAGCTACCCAGGCAACAAGTGTATCAGGCACACTGTCACACTCCTACAAATGTTACCAGATGCATAAGTGGCATTTAACAGAATACTTGTCTGGGATAGTATCAAATGTGTTTGGAAGAAAGATGACAAGACGCCTGGAATGAGCGTAGACATGAACAATAGACAGTTGACACACAACCTCTAAGAAGGGATGCACATGACGACAGAACTTTTTTTTGCTTGGCGGATTTCTCAAGTTTGCAACCAGGGCTGAATTGTCCTGGACAATAGGAAAACACATTGAGTGCTGTCTTTGGTTTAACTTCTCCATACTGTCCAGTCCAGCATGCAGATTTTCCTCTATGTAAATGCTGAACAAATATTTTAAAATATTAGCCCCTGTGTTTTAATCTACCCCTAACCATAAAATTAATCACTTGGAGGCACGGTACTATTTTAGTGTCCTCAAATCACATGGATTTGGCCTTATAACAACCGCAGCAGCAGCAAAATAATGACTATTGTTTCTTGACCTCTTCCTTGGTCCTATACAAAGCAATTTGGGGCATAGATTCTGGACTCAAAATGCCTGAGCTCAGCTCTGTTGTTTACTGATTGAATAAACTTGATCAAATTACTTAACCTCTACATACCTCAGTTTTCTTATCTTTAAAGGGGAGATAATAGTACACTACCTCATACAGTTGTTGTAAGTATTAATTGAATCAGTAAATGTAGAGTGTTCAGAATGTTCCTGGCATGCAATATGACTGCTTACTTTTATTTGCTGTTACTATTTTATATATTCCACACAATAACCCTGAAAGGGAAGTACTATCCCCATTACATGGTTTAAAACCTTAAGGCTGTGGAAGTTAAACAATTGGTTCAAGATCCAATTGCTGTTAAGTGACAGAGCCAGGATTTCATGGGCCATGCCCAGGGCTCCCACTGCCCTGCACAGGCTCAGGACACTGCTCCCTGCATCCCAGCCACTCCAGCCCCAGCTGTGGCCCAAAGGGACCCAGGTACAGCTCAGGCTGCTGCTTTAGAGGGTGCAAGTCATAAGCCTTGGTGGCTTCACGTGGTGTTAAGCCTGCAGTTGCACACAGTGCAAGTGTTGAGGCTTGGGAGTCTCTACCTGGATTTCAGAGGATGTATGGAAAAGCCTGCTGCAGAGGCAAAGACCTAATAGAGAACCTCTGCTAGGGCAGTGCAGATGGGAAATGTGGGGTTGGAGCCCTTACATAGAGTCCCCTCTGGGGCACTGCCTAGTAGAGCTGTGAGAAGCGGGCCACCAGACCAAGAGCTCCCCAGCAGTCTCCCAACTATATATATCCTCCTTTTTGGTGGAGGCTCTTAGGATATGCAGAATCTGCACCTGGAAAAGCTGTAGGCACTCAATGGCAGTCCATGAGAGTAGCCACAGGGGCTGAACTCTGCAAAGCCACAGGGGTGAAGTTGTCCACAGCCTTGAGAGCCCTCCTCTTGCACCAGTGTGCCCTGGATGTGAGACATGGAGCCAAAGGGGATTGTTTTGTAGCTTTAAGATTTAATGACAGCTGTGCTGGGTTTTGGATTTGCATGGGGACTGTATTCCCTTCCTTTTGGCTGATTTCTCCCTTTTGGAATGGGAGTGTTTACCCAATGCCAGTACCTCCATTGTATCTTGGAAGTAACTAACTTGTTTTTGATTTATAGGCTCATAGGTGGATGGGACTTACCTTGTCTCAGATGAAACTTTGAACTTGGACATTTGAGTTAATGCTAGAATGATTTAAGACTTTGGAAGGCTGTTGGGAAGGCATGATTTTATTGTGCAGTGGGAGAAGGACATGAGATTTGTAGGGGACCAGTGTGAAATGATATGGTTTGGATCTGTGTCTCCGGCAAATCTATGTAATTGTAATTACCAGTGTTGGAGGTGGGGCCTAGTGGGAAGTGATTGGATCATGGAGGTGGATTTTCCTGAATGGTTTATACCATCCCCTTGATGCTATTTTTGTGATAGTGAGTGAGTTATCACAAGATCTTATCTTTTGGCCGGGCGCGGTGGCTCATGCCTGTAATCCCAGCACTTTGGGAGGCCGAGGCGGGCAGATCATGAGATCAGGAGATTGAGACCATCCTGGCTAACATGGTGAAATCCCGTCTCTACTAAAAAAAAAATACAAAAATTAGCCGGGCATGGTGGCGGGTGCCTGTAGTCCCAGTTGCTCGGGAGGTTGAGTCAGGAGAATGGCACGAACCTGGGAGGCGGAGCTTGCAGTGAGCCGAGATGTGCCTCTCACTCCAGCCTGGGCGAAAGAGCGAGACTCCATCTCAAAAAAAAAAAGATCTTATCTTTTAAAGGTGTGTGGCACCTCCTCCTTCTGTCTCTCTCTTTCTCCTGCTCTCTCTCCCTGCTCTGTCCATGTGAAGTTCTCGCTCCTTCTTTGCCTTCCGCCACGATTATAAGTTTCCTGAAGCCTTCCCAGTAGCCAAGCAGATGCTGGTACCATGCTTCCTGTACAGCTTGCAGAAGCATGAGCCAATTAAACCTCTTTTATTATGAATTACCCAGTCTCAGGTATTTCTTTATAGCAGCATGATAATGAACTAATACATGAGTGAACAATGACCTCATTTCTCAGTGCCCACAAACTGCTGGGATATAAGCTGTATCAATCCTCAACTGTCCCAGCCTCAGTCTGGTGCTTCTCAAGAAATCTGTCCTTGAAGCCTCAGTCCCACTTGGTCCTGGGCCATACATTGAGAAGCCATGCCCACGGGAATAGCTTTCAGAAACAACTGGTATGTTTAGGTCCATTTTTTCTATTGTTTTGGGGTGGATTTCGTTTTCTAGTCTAGTAGCAATTGCAACATCTCCTTTATCTATCTAACTTGTTCTTATTTCAATGACCTTTGGCTTTGGTCTCTGTCCCACCCGTCAGTGCCTACAGTGGCTTCTGAACAGGCTGGGCCCCTGCTCATCTCTCTCCCTGAGGCATGGGTATACTTTTCTGGCCTCCACTCTCCTTTGCAGAGACCTGCACTCAGCCCCTTTCCCTGACTTATCTGCTTACTCCTCTTGTACCTGAGCCCTTCCTGACTTCACCTGCCTCATTCCCTCTTCACCCAAGCCATGGCATATGTTCTCTTGGAAGCACCATTCTGTTTCATCACTATCCCTTTGCATATTTCATTACCCTGGAATGTACTTTCCACCTTGTCTACCTGATTACTCCTAATTGTCCTTGAAATTATCATCAAGGAAGTCTTCCTATAGGAAGTCTTCTCATATTGGGATGGATGTTCCTCCCCTCTGCCTCCACCGTAGTTTTATAGTAGATCATGCTTGTTTTTTTAGCATGCCTATCTTCCCTAGCAAGCTGTGAGCTTCTTCAGGTTGAGACAGTGTCTTTTCATACCATTGGCCTCTAGCACAGTGCCTCAAGATATTAAGCACTCAAAGAAGGACTACTGAATGGCCCTTATGCTAAGAACCATCATCTCTTTAAAGCCTTGAATTAGACCCTCTTTAACAGACAACAGGCCCCAGTTGGACTTTACCAGCACTAATTGAGGTTGCTTTAAAGATCCAGGATCCTCTCAAAGACCACCTCTGCCACTGTAGTCAATTGTTCTCTTATTTTGAGCAAAATCCCAACAGGCTCCCAACTCTATCCTCCTTCTTGGTGGAAGCTCTTAGGATATGCTGAAGTGGGTTTGTGATACATTTGACAAATCGAGACATTTAGGAAATGAAACTCCTTGATCTAGCTGAATGCACTCAGCTAGCAATAAACTAATTCATTGTACTCTTCTAAACCCAGAGATGAGTCTTATTTTTATTGTTATTATTAGCAATAACAGTGCTTCATAGTTTCAAAAAGTACTTTCTCATTTATTATGTCAATTAAGCATCACATTAACCCTGGTAGGGGGTTATTAGTATTATTCTATTCTCTCTCTCTTTTTTTCCAGAAGAGTACCATGGTGAAAGATCATAGTACCACAATTAGAAGGGCTTAGGTTGGGAGCTCACCTCTGTAAATTACTAGCTGTATGTCTTTGGGCAAGTCAGTTAACTTCCCTGAGATGCAGAATTCTCAAGCAGCAGGATATTTAAACCACACCACATTGAAACACTATTTGACTGCATCATTTAAACTTTAGGGATATTTCAAACCTTGCCATAAAATTGAAATGGAAAAGAAATAATGCTAATGAAAATGGGAAAAATTAGAAATGATTAAATTGTGCAATATGGAACATTGATTAAGGAATTAAATTGGCTTAATGGAGTTCACTGTAAAAAATACTTTTTCCACAAAAATTTATTGATGTTAGCATAATTCTGATTAAAATATTTGTATTTGAAATATACTTGGGGGTCAACATGCGGTTGAAATGGTGAGCACAAATAGCCTGGTCCTTGTTGATCATAACAGTAACTATAATAACTCCTATTGAACACTGTTTCAAAAGCTTTGCATGCAGTATCATTTAATCATCAAAAAGGCCAGGGGGTAGGGCTCTCATATGGCCCCATTTTACAGAGATGGAGGCAGATCGGGCACATACTGAATATTACATTCACCATGATCACCACCCTCATCCTTATCCCAATGCCTCCATGCTATGACATTTGATGGCTTCTCAACTCCGTCAGAATAAAATTCAAACTCTTTACCAGGGTCTACAAGGCTCTCCTCTTCTGTTCCCTTGCTTCTTTATTATTTTTTTCTCACACTTCCTTATGTTCATGCACACTCATATCTTGTGGCTCCGGTACACAAGCGTGTATCTGCCTTATGCCCCTTTTAGTTCTACCTACGGAATGTTCTTTTTCTAGATAAACACATAGTTACTTCTATCTTCACTTCATTACTCAAGTGCCCCCTCCCAGGGAGGGGTTTCTTGACAACCATTTCTTAAGTAACTGCCCCCACCTTGTCATTCTATATTTACTTATGCTGCTTTTTCCCTCTTCTTCAGACATAGGTAAAATTATGTTTTTATATTTATTTATTGGCTGTCTTCTCTACTGGACTATAATCACCACAAGGAAGGGAATGATCTTCATTTTATTCATTGTTTTATCTCTAATGTCTAGGACAGTGCCACATAGTAGGTGCTCAATAAATACTTAAAGGAATAAAGAGATAAATAAATGTGAGGTATTTGTAAACAAACACATTTCTAAGTGCTTAAGTTCTCTGCTTCCTATTTCAGGGACTTGCCCAAGAGCCTCAGCCAAGAGGTCCCTGAGGGGCAGGTACCAAAAAGCAAGTGTTCCTGTCCACTCAGCTTTCTCTCTTCATGGCACTTCCCAGGCTCTCTGCCATCCATAAAGAGGCTCTTGACCCAAATCCTGTCCTCACGCCAGTCAGTATACTTCCCTATAGCTCAAATCCTGCCATGCTGGAAGTGACACAGTATAATGTCTACGAACAAAACACCCAGTCACTCTTGTGAAAGTCCTTTCCAGTGTCATTGTGTTTTATTAACAGATTTTTATGTTTAGATTATGGGCAATTTCTGAGGGTTTGAAGAATATGTAAACAGCCTACACCTCTAGGGGGAAGACTGGGAAAGCAGCAGGTGAAGGCTGGCTCCCAGTGGGCCTGTGCGTGCCCTCGGTCCACGTGCTGGCTGTTTGCTGCTTTACAGATTGTACACCTCACTCCTATTGACAGACGTCAGCCTCATGAATGTAGTGTGTTCAGTCTCCCAGGCAGAAATTGGTCTCAACTGAATAATCAGGAAGTTGGATTTACATTACTGGCAAAAGCAGCCACCTTTTCTCTTCAGATTAAACAAAAAAATAAAGGAGATAACAAACAGGATATGTCAATGTGCCAGGAGAGGCATGAGGGCAAGAGAGAAGGAGAAAAAATCAAATATTGATTAAACTCAAAGAAAAATGCTGAAAATGGTCAAAGAGACTTTATTCTTCTGAGCAGGGTAAAACATAAGAATTTTTAGAAAATGAATAGCCTGGAGTTGAAGGGGAAGAGGCATGGTGGAATTGAAATGTAGCCTAGTGATCTTTATTTTAGATTTTGCGATATTTATTTTTACAAGTGAAATTCTAAAGGAGGGTATGGAGGAGAGGATGTAAACAAAGATCCCCTAAATCCGCACAAGACATGGAATCCAGGCTTTGCATGGGATTTTGACTTTTAAGTTCATAGCCTCAGTCAGTATCTTTAACAGGTCCCTTTGGACTTGGCTCAGAAGCTGT
The DNA here is from genome assembly GCF_000001405.40 of Homo sapiens. NCBI lineage: Eukaryota > Metazoa > Chordata > Mammalia > Primates > Hominidae > Homo > Homo sapiens. The sequence continues at coordinate 209,030,073 of NC_000001.11, read as the reverse complement.
ATTTTAAACATGGATTGGTTTCAGATTGATCATCTTCACATCTATTGGAACAATTTTCAGTTTCTCAGGCATCCACCAATACTTTGTATCACAAACCAGCCACTGGGTGGGGTAAAGGGCAGAAAAACTGAAATGAAAGGAAAAGAGGAATAGTCTAAGGCAGTCCAGGAAGCAAGAATGGATATGAGGGAGTGACACCAGAGTTAACCAAAAGAGTATCAGCAAAGGAGGAACTAGAAATGCACTGGGCGGGAGTGTATTTAGGGACATGCATGAAGATCAAGGAAGGGAATCCTGCATGAGATAATGAGGTGACAGGAAGGAAAGACTTAAGGAGAAGTATTAGGTGGTCCATCTGAGTTGAATATGTATGGTCCTGCACATCTAGATTTCTTTTAGTACTCTGAAACTTTTGAAAATATACAATGGGATACACGTAATCAGTTATTTTTTTCAGAGCTTCTTTTAAGAGGTTTTAAGGATATCATGCATATCTTCTATACATGATAAAGTTCATTTTTTAAAACCTGATTCAATATGAGACCCTTATCTCACTATTTCATATATCATTTAATCATTTATTTTGTATATCTCCCCTTTAAATTAGAATATAAACATCAATGGGGGTGATTATTGTACATTTCTTATATGTGGCTTCACATGTACAGAGTTCTGTTCTTTTTACTTTTTCTTTTCTTTTTTCTTTCCTGAGACAGGGTGTGGTTCTGTTACCCAGGCTGGAGTGCAGTGGTGTGATCATGGCTCACTGCAACTTTGACCTCTTTGGCTCAGGTGATCCTCGCACCTCAGCCTCCTAGGTAGCTGGGACTCTAGGTGCACGCCGCTATGCCCAGCTAATTTTTCGTATTTTTAGTAGAGATAGGATTTTGTTATGTTGCCCAGGCTGGTCTTGAACTCCTGGGCTCAAGAAATCTGCCTGCCTTGGCCTCCCAAAGTGCTAGGATTACAGACATGAGCCACCACGTCTGAGATATTTTATTTTTTAAAAAAACATTTAAATAAATTGTTTAATTTATTTTTAAAGTTATCTGGAACCTAGATTTACCTGTTTTTTTTTTATTTTTAAACTATTCCACGTACCTAATAAATATCTAATATGTGCAGTCCGTGTCATATTTGTTGGGATATAAGATCTAGAACATTTCCTAACATGGTTAATGGTTCAGAGAAAATAATCCCCATGTGCCTCAATGAGATTCTTATACCTGTTAACACGCAGACCTTAAAGGAAAGAAAATCACAAAACACAGTATTTGTAATAGTCTGTCCTCACGCTGCTGATAAAGACATACCTGAGACTGGGTAGTTTACAAAGAAAAAGAGGTTTAATAGACTCACAGTTACACGTGGCTGGGGAGGCCTCATAATCATGGCGGAAGGCAAAAGGTGTGTCTTACATAGTGGCAGGCAAAGAGAATGAGAACCTAGCGAAAGGGGTTTCCCCTTATAAAACTATCAGATCTGGTGAGACTTATTCACTACCACGAGAACAGTGTGGAGGAAACTGTCTCCATGATTCAATGATCTCCCACCGGGTCTCTCCCGCAACACTTGGGAATTACAGGATCTACAATTCAAGATAAGATTTGGGTGGGGACACAACTAAACCATACCAGTATTCAATTTGGGTTCTGTATGGCTGTGTGAATGTGTGGCAGGAAAGGTAATACTCTTTTGAGGTTTGCATTGGACATTGTCAACATTGTTTCTGCCCCTAATGTGAAACAAGCAATTAGGCTTTATTTATGTCATGAAACAAGTACTATTCCTGCTATCCCAGAGCATAGCTGCTTTGACCTCAGGTAGTCTCTGACCCAAGGGTACCCAATATCCAGGATAGTCCAAGATCTATGGCATTTCTTTCCTAAGAGAGTGTTGCTGGGCCAATCAGATTTATTTCTTCCAGATTTTTGAATTGGGAAATACTAGAGGATCCAACAGATTTGATGATTATAGGGATCAGATGGAACCTATACTATTAGGAAACAAACAATAAATATGGAGAAACCATGAGGTGAGAAAAAGTATAAAGAGTTGCATAAAAGAATAAGCAAGTGTCAGCCAGGTGCAGTGGCTCTCGCCTGTAATCCCAGCACTTTGGGAGGCTGAGGCAGGCGGGTCACTTGAGGTCAGGAGTTTGGGACTAGCCTGGCCAACATGATGAAAACTTGTCTCTACTAAAAATTCAGAAAATTAGCCAGGCATGCTGGCTGTTGCCTGGAATCCCAGCTACCAGGGAGGCTGAGCAGGAGAATCGCTTGAACCTGGGAGGCAGAGGTTGCAGTGAGCTGAGATCGTGCCACTGCACTTCAGCCTGGGAGACAGAGCGAGGCTCCATCTCAAAAAGAAAAAAAAAGCAAGTGTCAATAGGAGGAGATGGAGTAAATGCTCTTCATGAGAGTGCTCATGTGGCCCTTGAGGAAAAAAGAACAATTTCTACAACTGCATTGCTTCTGATAGAGTGACAGAACCAGTTTCAGTTCCAGTCCATACATATAAAAATAACTAGCATAATCCCTTTTTATTATGTTAGCAATAATAGATAATAAAAAATCTTCTTTATTATCAATAATTTCAGTGAATTTCACTTCCTTGCAACTACCCCCCACCTTCCCCTTCAAAAAAGCAAATGCTAAATAAAACAGAGGTGATATGGGCAGAAGTTATTCATTGTTATCTCCTGCAAAGCAGTAAATTTACGTCTCAAATTTTAGGCATGCTTTGTAACAGATAAACTGTGATTTTTCAGGGCAGTGGATCCCTGGTTATGACTCAAAGAATTATGATTAGCTTAAAATTGGATTGGTTAGCATCCATGCAGGAAAGCAGAAACCAGTATAGATATTTCAAACAGAGGAAATTTCATTTAGAGATGTGGTTACAAAATTATGGGAAGGATTGAAGAAACAAAAAGGGTAAAAAAGAAATATGTGTACCTGTAGGGAGCGATTATTATACCTTCAGCTGGAGGAATTTAATGAAAGATGGTGCTACATAGAGCCCAGGTTTGCTGGTCATTGCGGCTGCTTGAGCATACTCTGCTACTGCAGCTGTTACAAATTCTGGCACCATGTTTTAGAGCTTGCAAAGCATGACCATCACCCCAACTGGTATAAAGTTAAGTATCTATCTGTATGTTGAACTGTAAGCCAGCTGGGAAAGAAGTCTGGGAAATGTAGTTTACAGGCTTACTTCCCACTATTGTGTTGCAAAGGAACTCAAAGAAGGGGGAAAAATGGAGCTGGGAGGCAAGTGACAAACAATTGGCCCAAGAGACATACAAAAAAAAATTTGTTTTTACTTATAAGATATTGAGGCCCAGTGTGGTGGCTCTTGCTGTAATCCCAGCACTTTGGGAGGCCAAGGTAAGAGGATCACTTGAGGTCAGGAGTTCAAGACCAGCCTGGCCAACATGGCGAAACCCCATCTCTACTAAAAATACAAAAATTAGCCAGGTGTGGTGGCTCATGCTGTAGTAATCCCAGCTACTTGGGAGGCTGAGGTGGGAGAATTGCTTGAACCCGGGAGGTGGAGGTTGCAGTGAGCTGAGATCATGCCACTGTGCTCCAGCCTGGGTGACAGAGCGAGAGTCTGCTTCAAAAGAAAAAAAAAAAAGACATTGAACTTTGAATATTTAGCTTTTTGTCACAACAGTCTACTACATAATGTTTGTTGCCTACCTTTTGCTTAAAATTCCACTCATGCATCAGTTGCCCAATCACCCACTGCTATGCATTGTATATATGGGTCCCTCCAAAATTCATAGGTTGAGACTTAATACCCATTGTGGTGATATTAAGAGGTGAAGCCTTTGTAAAGTGATTAAGTCATGAGGGCTCCATCCTTGTGAATGGTATTAATCCCCTTATCAAAGAGGCTTCAGAGAGTTGTCTGGCCCTTTCATCTCTTTGCCGTATGCAGACACAGTGTTCTTCCCCTCTGGAGGATGCTGCAACAAGGTACCATTTTGGAAGCAGAGAGACAGCCCTCACCAGAGACTGAATCTGTTGGTACTTTGGTCTTGGACTTCCCAGCCTCCAGAACTGTAATAAATAAATGTATATTACTTACTATATCATATTGTATAATATATTACTATATTACTTACTTAATCTAAAGTATTTTTTATAGCAGCCCAAATGGACTCAGATACCCATCCTCATAGGAATCAGGGCAAAACCACATCTCCAGCTCTGGGGGTGTTGGGGTGGACTCTGATGGGTCTTAGCTTGGTTTTGGATCAGTTTCACCATGATGTTTGTGAATAGGTATGTGACCCAATTCTGATTAATGAAACTACTTGAAAAATTTGCTGAAGAAAGTTTTTCCCGGTTCTTTGAGATAGCAAAGAGAAGCCAGTCTTTCCCTCCTGTCAGACATTTAAAGAAAGCATATAGCCATCTTGCCACTGGCAGCTCTTCTATAAGCATGAAAGGAATCAGAATTAAAGTTAACAGTAGAGATGGCCAAGCAGAGATGTGGAAAGAACCAGATCCTTTATGACATTATTGCACCACCAAATTAACCAATACTGAAATCCCACCCCACTCCTACATTTCTTATTATGCAAGCTTATACATTTAAACATTTTTAAAACTGATTTGAGTTGGGTTTTTTTTATCTGTAGCTATGATAAACATTCAAGGTTTTAATAATGCTACATTTTTCCCTTTCCAATAAACCTCTCTAGTGGGAGATAAAGAGGTCAAGTTGTGTCTAGGAGATTAGAAAGTATATGTAACACCAGAACCTCTATGTGACCACAATTCATTATGTCCACTGTAGTGGTTTTTAAAAAAAGTTAAGTGTTATTCTAACAAATTAGGAAAGGATGCAAAACCATTCTCAGCTGAGAAAATGTTTAGCTGAGTGCCGAATAGATTTATGGAATAAATTATTTTGAGCTTTATTTGAAATATGGGAGAAAGATTCTACATTGTTTTAGAGGATGTAGCTAGGATGAAACTGGCAAAACTTACATTAAAAAGTTTCAGTGCTTTAAAAAATAAAATTATAGTTTCAGAGCTGTCTAAAAATGGATGGGGCTTCTTGGAGACTAGGAAGTGAATTCTTTATTATTGGGGATATTTAAGCAGAGATTGAATGACCACTCTGGGAGTGTTAGAGAGGAGAGTCATATTGTGGAAGGAAGATGACATCTGAGAGCTTTCTAACTCTAAGATTGTGGTTATATTTCGGTTATAATGTGGTTATATTGACTTCGGTTATATTTACCTTAGAGCCTATGGAAGGGCACACCTAGTCAGTCTCTTGGAAGGTGAATTGACAATGAACAGCTCAGATGTTTTATGATCTCAAGTTTAGAGCTGCCAATATATTGTTGTATTAATCCATTCTTACTCTGCTAATAAAGATATACTCAAGACTGGGCAATTTATAAAAGAAAGAGGTTTAATTGACTCACAGTTCAGCCTGGCTGGGGAGGCCTCAGGAAACTTACAATTATAGCAGAAGGGGAAGCAAACACTTCCTTCTTTACATGGCAGGAGCAAGGAGAAATGCCAAGCCAAACGAAGAAAACCCCTTTATAAAACCATCAGATCTCATAGAACTCACTATCATGAGAACAGCATGGAGGTAACCACCCCTATAATTCAATTACCTCCCACCATGTTCCTCCCATGACACATGGGGATTATGGGAACTACAGTTTAAGGTGAGATTTGGGTGGGGACATTGTCAAACCATATCAATTGTGTACTTAAGAAATGATTACTTCCCTTAGGGGGAAAGTTGAACCCATCAACTAAGATGAGATTTTTAGATTTTCCATGTGCTATCCTTATACTCACCATCCCTGACTTACATCCCAGGAGTGACTGAAAGTAGGCACAAACTACGCCACAAATCTGAGAGAATATATGCAAAGCCCAGACAAATTAGTGTCCATGCAGTTCACCCCACGAAGCATGCCTAGAAGTCAGCACAAGAGCAACAATTAAAATATCACAAGATGAGCTGTAGACCCCAGTAGGTAGAGCTCCTTTGTTTAATGACCTTTCTCCTAGTGTGATAGCAAATACAATAGGCTGGCCTCATAAATCATACCTCCAGAAAACATCCACAGGGCAGACTTTGACACTGTTTGCATATTCAAATGTCATCCTGTTCATAAGAGGAAAGACTAAACACTTTTTTTCCTCTCAAAAATGTCAGCATGGCTGGATTAGAAAAGATAATTCGGAAGTACTTCTAGACAATAATTACCTCTGGCACCTATCTGCAGTTACTTAATGAATGGGAAGAGATTTTTTTTAATTTTTAAAAATTATGATTATTGCAGTAATTAATCAGCTGCTCAGTGACAGCTTATCTTGATGGGGAAAAAGTGCCTCAAAGGCCATCTTGCTTCTGTAGGGCACCTTGTTGATTTCACATCACATACGCAAAACATATCCTATTATTATTAGCAACAAAAATGCTTGTGGAAGTAGAATTAGCCTCAATTTCCTAATAGTCAGGAAACTCTCACATTTCACAAGTGAGAGAAAGGAAAAAAGAAGCCAAACCACCCCTAATCCCAAATGCTAGTTGGAAAAAAAAAGTTTCAGACTTGCTCAGCTGTGATTGTTAAAACAATCTCTTACTCTTAATTACATGCAAAAGTTCCTGGTTCTAATTATGGACCTTGGGGAAATAGCCCATCTCCCCAAACCAATAACGCCTCAGGTTAACTCTAGTTCTTTTGTGTTTAATATCTTACTGCTGGATTTCAGCTTCCCTAGATGATCTGTAAATTTGGCTTTTTCTACTTTATTTTTCACAGTGCTGCTCAGAACAGGGGCTAGGAGACTTCACTTTTCCCAGTGATTCTTTTTATCACATTTCTTGCTACTTGAGTACAAAATCCTTTAACCTGAGATACCCCCATCAGAGGCAACTTCTTTCCTCCACTCTGTTCCTACCTGTTTTTCTGCAGCTCAAGGCTCTCAGTTACTGCATCAAAGGTCCTTGGAGTGATGTAAGTGCAGCATACTCATGAGGACTCACTGGCAAATATGGAGGTGAGGGTGTTTGTAGAGGTCAACTGGCCCAGGTGCCTTCCCAGCATTGGACCCCGTACCTCTGAACATTCTGATGACTGAACAGAGCAGAATGCAGCACAAGCTGGCTGGGAGCTTAGAAACAGAGACGATTACCACTCAAGGGGCATTAGAGAATATCTGGTCCAAACCCCTTATTTTTCAGAAGAGACTGAGTTCTAGAAAAGGAGAGGAATTTGTTCATATCACAGAGGTAGTTAAAGACCAACCCAGCATCGTGCTTGGTCTGCTATCAATACACACCAGGGCTGGCGCTTGGGAATTGTCTAGATTCTATCTATTCTGTCTAGCCTCACCCTAGTATGAAAGTCACTTCAGTCAAGAAAAGGTGGACTAGCATGAGTTACTTCAGCACTGTGGCCCTGGGTCCTCCTCTGTCCCTTCTGTTAAAGAAATTTTTGACTTCATAAATATCAGTTCTTTCACCAGTGAAACAGGGGTTATACTACTCACTGTTTAATAATATTGTTAAGGGAGGAAAAAAAAGAAAAGGGGGACATGGACAGATTTGAGAAGGTCTCTTAAAGACTAAAACATTTAAAACATTCTGTAGGTTTTGCAAATATATGAGACAAAACCACCTGTAACATTTTAGAGGCTATGCTTGGATAAATCTCGTTTTATATATTTCAGCAAACTATATATTGAAAACATTAAAATAATGAGGAAATCTTGCAAAATGTGTCTGTGTGTGTGTACTTTCTAAAGAGGTCAGGAGTTGTAACATTTTTGTACTTTACCTGTAGCCAGTGTTTACTATTTTGCACATAATAGGTATTCAGTTCAATACAATTTGGTGAAATGAGTGAATGATGCTCTTCCCACCTACTTTCCTTTTTCACCACCTATCTAAATCCTACCATTTCTCAAGGCTTAGCTCAAGATTCACTGCATGACCAGCCCTCAGTGATTTCTCTCTTTTTTGAAATAATGACTATTGTACTAGAGCCAGCATTCTGGATTCTAGAGGCAAGCTCTTGATTATAGACAACTTTCTGTTGTAATCTACTTCTCTCATGTGTGTTTATTTTAGCTTTTTAGGAAGACTGTGAGTTCCACAAGGGCAGGGGCTGTATGTTATAATTCTCTGATAGAACCCACAGTACCTGGCACAGAGCTTATTTTTAAGCAGGAAACTAGTCATGCTGAAATTCAATGATTATTGCTGACACTATGGTTTTCTGTAAAACATGTGCTTATATACATATATGGAATCTATTGACTATAATCAGTGTTAAGCATTTGTTTTGCTAACTCTTAGGTAGGTGGTAGGTGGCAGTTAACTGCTAAGGGATTTCTGTTCTTCCAGGAGACAGAATATTTTGGAGTCACAAATAACATAACATATTAAACAGAGCCAAGAAATCTATTCAAGCAGAAATCCAAGGTTAGTTAGCAAATGAGAAATGGTTGGGTGAAAGTTAGCAACCTAATAAACTTGCTCAGAGACTACCCAGGATAATTCTAATTTGTTTTTGTTTGAGTAGGAGAGGGATTTCAAGAACTAAATACAGGTTATTACTTCCTTGGATGATTAAACATGTTTAGTGCCTGAATTTAGTTTGGATTGGGAAAAGGGGCATAATTTAAGTCAATAAATATGTAATGAGTGAATAAAATTTCAGAGGTAACAAAAGGAAGGTGCATTAGTCCATTTTCATGCTGCTGATAAAGACATACCTGAGACTAGGCAATTTACAAAAGAAAGAGGCTTAATGGACTTGCAGTTCCACATGGCTGGGAAGCCTTACAATCATGGTGGAAGGCAAGGAGGAGCAAGTCACATCTTACCATGGATGGCTGCAGGCAAAAAGTGAGAGGTTGTCCAGGGAAACTCTTGTTTTTAAACCCATCAGATCTCATGAGATTCATTCACTATCACAAGAACAGCACAGGAAAGGCCCACCCCCAGAATTCAATCACTTCCCACTAGGTCCCTCCCATGACACATGGGAATTGTGGGAATTACAATTCAAGATGAGATTTGGGTGGGGACACAGCCAAACCATGTCATTCTGCCCCTGGCCCCTCCCAAATCTCATGTCCTCCCATTTCAAAACCAATCATGACTTCCCCCAAAGTTTTAACTCATTTCAGCATTAACTCAAAAGTCCATAGTCCAAAATCTCATCTGAGACAAGGCAAGTCTTTTCTGCCTATAAGCCTGTAAAATCAAAAGCAAATTAGTTACTTCCTAGATACAATGGGGGTACAGGCATTGGGTAAATACAGCCATTCCAAATGGGAGAAATTGGTCAAAACAAAGGGGCTACAGGCCCCATGCAAGTCCAAAATCTTAAAGTTCCAAAATGATCTCCTTTGACTCCATATCTCACATGCAGAGTACACTGATGCAACAGATGGGCTGCCACAGTCTTGGGCAGCTCCACCCCTGTGGCTTTGCAGGTTATAGCCCTCTTCTGGCTGCTTTCACTGGCTGGTGTTAAGTGTCTGTGGTTTTTCCAGGTACACTGTGGAAGCTGTCAGTGAATCTACCATTCTGGGGTCTGGAGAGTGGTGGTCCTCTTCTCACAGCTCCACTAGATGGTGCCCCAGTAAGGACACTGTGTGGAGTTTCTGACCCCACACTTCCCTTCTACATTGCCCTAGCAGAGGCTCTCCATAAGGGCCCCATCCCCATAGCAAACTTCTGCCTGGGCATTCAGGTATTTCCATACATCCTTTGAAATCTAGGAAGAGGTTCCGAAACCTCAATTCTTGACTTCTGGGCACTCACAGGCGCAACAGCACATGGAAGCTGCCAAGATTTGAGCCTTCCACCCTTTGAAGCAACAGCCCTAGCTGTATCTTGGTCCCTTTTAGTCATGCCTGGAGCTGCTGGGATGCAGGGCACCAAGTCCCTAGACTGCACACAACAGAAGGACCCTGGGCCTAACCCACAAAACCATTATTTCCTCCTAAACCTCCAGGCTTGTGATGGGAGGGGCTACTGCAAATGTCTCTGATATGCCCTGGAGACATTTTCCCCATTGTCTTGGTGATTAACATTCAGCTTCTCATTACTTATGCAAATTTTTGCAGCCAACTTGGATTTATCCTCAGAAAATGGGATTTTCTTTTCTGTAGCATTGTCAGGCTGCAAATTTTCTGAACTTTTATGCTCTGTTTCCATTTTAAAACTGAATGCCTTTAACAGCACCCAAGTCACCTCTTGAATACTTTGCTGCTTAGACATTTCTTCCACCAGATACACTAAAGCATCTCTCTCAAGTTCAAAGTTCCACAAATCTCTAGGATGGGGGCAAAATGCTGCCAGTCTCTTTGCTAAAACATGACAAAAGTCACCTTTGTTCCATTCCCAACAAGTTCCTTATCTCCATCTGAGACCACCTCAGCCTGGATTTCATTGTCCATATCATTATCAGCATTTTGGTCAAAGCCATTCAACAAGACTCTAGGGAGTTCCAAAATTTCCCACATTTTCCTATCTTCTTCTGAGCCCCCCAAACTGCTCCAACCTCTGCTGGTTGCCCAGTTCAAAAGGTGCTTCCACGCTTTTGGGTATCTTTTCAGCAGCGCCCCACTCTACTGGTACCAATTGATTGGATTAGTCCATTTTCACACTGCTGATAAAGACATACCCAAGACTGGCCAATTTACACAAGAAAGAGGTTTAATGGACTTGCAATACCACATGGCTGAGGAGGCCTCACAATCATGGCAGAAGGCAAGGAGGAGCAAGTCACATCTTACGTGGAAGGCGGCAGGCAAAAAGAGAGCGCTTGTGTAGGGAAACTCCCATTTTTAAAACCATCAGATCTCATGAGACTCATTTCACTATCACAAGAACAGTGCAGGAAAGGCCTGCCCCCATAATTCAATCACCTTTCACTAGATTCCTCCCATGGCATGTGGGAATTGTGGGAGTTACAATTCAAGATGAGATTTCAGTGGGGACACAGCCAAACCATATCAGAAGGAATAGTACATCTGACTACCTAAAATTAGAAAAAAAGTTTCATCATGAAAAATATCACAAACTGACAGCTTGGGCAAAAATATTCACAACATACACATACCACAGGCAAAGAGTTAATATCTCCAATAAAATGAAGAAATTTTAAAATTGAGGACAAAGGGACCCAAAACATGATAGTTTATAAATATAAAATTTAAATGTAAAAAGAATATAAACAAACAATTCATAAAAATGTCCTCAAATAATCGAAAAATGTTCAAGATTGCTTATAATGAGTGATATACTAATTAAAATAGCTCTGAGATGCTATTTCTCACCTATCAAATTAAAAAACATTTAAAAATATGGCAACACAATGTGCTAGTGAGGCTGTGAGGAAACAAGCACTCTGGAGTACAATTCATCAATACCTAATAGAACTATGTATGTACTTAGTTTTGACCCATACCCCACAGCTAGGAATCTGTTCTGAATATTTACATCTAATAATATAAAAATTCATATGTACAAGGTTATTCGTTGTAGCTTGTTTGTAATTGCAAAATATTGAAAATGACCCAAGTACCCTCTGAAATTTTATTCACTCATTTATACCCATTGTATAAACTATGCTACATCCACACAATGGAGTCCTACACAGCCATTAAGAAAAACAATCTATGAACTGATATAGATTCATAGGATCTATATCAGTTCATAGAAAAATATCTATGAACTGATATAGATTCATAGCATCTATATCAGTTCATAGAAAAATATCTATGAACTGATATAAAGTGATTTCCAGAATATGCTGTTAATGAAAAAGCAAAGAGCAAAATAGTATCTATGGTATACTATCCTTCTTGTAAGAAAGACTATAAGAAAATGCACATATATCTTCTCCTTTGTACGAAAAATGAATAAAAGATAAACCACAAATTAAGGAAATTGGTTACTTTCTGGAGTGGGAGGTCTGTGGGAAAGGAGTGAAATGAAGGTGAGAGTCGGAGTGCTTTGCAGGAATGATGAAGGAGGTTCCTTCTCTGAGTACAGCTTCTGGCTCTTGAAATCACAATAAGGTTTTACACACCCTTTGAATCCCACCAAAATAAAGAAACCAATCAGAATTTGGATGGGAGACCCAACACAGAATAGAAAAAGTAACAAATGAACTTAACTCTATAGCAGATGAATAACATAACCAGACTGAAGGGGAGAGAGAAGAAAAGAACCAATGAAGTAACTTTGGAAAACATCTTGATTGGATACTTCAATAAGGCTACAGGCAAAAAGAACTGAACACGAGCTAAATCTAGTCATTTAATTTGTTTTTCACAGGAGTGTGTTAATATACTTTTTCTGTATACCAGTATCAACCAAATATGTAAATATATTGTACAAATAAGTGCTAGCTTTCTTGCCATCGGAGTGAAACTACAAATAAAGAATTCATTCTAAAATGAATTCTGTGGAGTCAGAATGAACTGAGTGGTATCAGTGTACACCTATGGTTTATGTACACACACACACAATACATATATATGTGTGTGTGTGCATGTGTGTGTATTCCAACTCACATACACCATATATACATGTGCTCATGCACATATATATGAATATGAATGTATATATGTGTGTGTATATATACACACACACACAAAGAGAACAAAAATACAGATGTATGTGTATACATGGGTTAGCATATATACATGTGTTTCCTTGCTATGTCCGCTGACGTGTCTAAAAGTAATGACACACCAGTTGCAATGAGCATACTCAGTGTCCAGATTTTGGTTTCTAAACACCATTATCGGAGAAATGGTTGATATGAAATCTGAGACAGGAAAAAACAAGATGTGCTTGTAGCATCTTATGTTGTCACATAGTAAGGAAGTAAGGAAGTGTTAAAAAAAAAGCATCTAAAATATCTCCTAATAGCTAAGATTGGAAATATTAATATATGAGCCTAAAAATAATGGCAGTCTGGATTCTAACCTACATAATAAATATCCATGAGTCATACAGATATAAATAGGTGAATAAATAAATAAATGGGGGGAAAGGACAGCTCTTTTTTTTTTTTTTTTTTTTTTTTGAGACAGAGTCTTGCTCTGTTGCCCAGGCTGGAGTGCAGTGGTGCAATCTCCACTCACTGCAAGCTTCACCTCCCGGGTTCATGCCATTCTCCTGTCTCAGCCTCCTGGATAGTTGGGACTACAGGCACCCACCACCACACCTGGCTAATCTTTGTATTTTTAGTAGAGACAACGTTTCACCGTGTTAGCCAGGATGGTCTCGATCTCCTGACCTCATGATCCACCCACCTCGGCCTCCCAGCTCTTTCTTACAGAAAGAATCCAATGATAAAAGTAGAGGGAAAGAGGAAAATAGAAAAAAAGCACCATCAGGCACACACCAAAGTAATGATTTTTGCAAGCAAGATCCACTGATGGATGTTGAAAATTGTAGGAGAAAATTTGAGAAGAAACAGGATATTTGCATAGCCTCAAAGTGTGTCCACAGATATTTATTAATTACAAAGGGAAAAATGTAACATTACAGAGGACAAACCAACAGACACCACAGTAACCAAGTGATCAAGGTTAACATCATCAGTTACAAGATATATCGATGTAACGGCGCCCTTGAGAAATACACGTCTTTCCATGGTATTCTTGCCAGAAAAGCATGATCTTATTCAAATCCTGACAAACCATCAGATAAATCCACACTGAGATAGAGTCTATAAAATACCTCAGCAGTACTGTTCAAAAGTGTCAAGTTCATGAAAAATAAGGAAAGACTGAGGAAGTGTCATAGATTAGAGGAGACTAAGGAAGCACAACTAAAAAAATTTGAATCTTGCAACAGAAAAAAGATAATGGAAAAACTGGTAAAATTTTTACAAAGCCTAAAGTTTAGTTAATAGCTTTATTTCAAGGTTAACTTTATGGAATTGATAATTATCCCATAATTATGTAAGTGGTTAACATGAGAAGCTTCATGAGGAATACATACAGACAATCTGTATTATTTGGTAAATACTTTGTAAGTATAAATTTAGTTCAAAATAAAAATTTAAAATAATATGTAATGAGTGCCTACTTTTAGACAATCAACCTATTCCACCTTGTCCTCCAGCCTCATGTTTCACCAAATTAGCTCCTTATCACCTCCGGTTCATAGTCCTGTTTGCTTGGCTTCCATGATACAACACTCTCCTGGTTTTTCCTTCTCTATCTCCTTGGAAAATTCATTCTCTAACCAGATATTAAGTGTTAGCATTCCTTAACCATTCATCCTTTTTTCTTATCTTACTCTCTTACATTGTACTTAAGTAATCTTATTGATGCTCAGATCTTCCATTACCATGTAAATCTGCAAGACTTGCAATCTTCTGTCTCAAGACCCAGTTTCTTAACTGGGCTCCATATGAATGTATACTTGAGATTTGCATTTCGTAATGGACCCTCAACCTTAGCAAGTAAAAAACTAAGCTCATGATCTGGCATCCCCATCCCATAGTGGTTAAAACTATATCCACAGTTTAATCGACCTGCCTTTCAAAAGGTGGGGCCTAATTCCACCCTGGGTGTGGGTTGGACTTAGTAACTCACTTCTAATGAATAGAATAAAAGCAGAAATGACAGTGTATGAATTTGGGGACTAGGTCATGAGAAGCATTTCATTTCTTGTGGCTTCTCTCTTGGATCACTCACTCTGGGGAAGCCAGATGCAGTGTTCCCTTAAGAAGCCCATGTGATAAGGAAGGAAGGCCTCCAGCCAACAGCCACATGAGAAAGTTTGGAAACAGATTCTCTAGTCCCAGTCAAGTCTTCAGGTGAATGCAACTCTGACCAACATCTTGATTACAACCTAATGGGACACCCTGAGCCAGAGCCACACAACCTGATACTCAGAAATTGAGATACAGATATTTGTTATTTTACACCAGTAAGTGTGAGACAAACTTATACAATAAAAGATAGTTGATATTCTTTTCTCCCCATAAACAACCAGATCATATTTTAGTTTTGCTGTTTTTAGTGAATTACTCACTATGCCATTTATTACACAGCCAGGAAAAGAGGCATCACTCTCTGTTTTTTCTTTTCTCGACTTTCATTTTATTAATAGATTCAGGGGGTACATGTGCAGGTTTGTTACAAAGGTATATTGTGCGGTGCTGAGGTTTAGAGTACAAATAAATCCATCACCCAGGTAGTACACATAGTACCCAACAGGTAGTTTTTTTCAAACTTTCTCCCCCTTTCTCCCTCTTCCCTCTTGTATTCCCCAGTATCTATTGCTTCCATTTTTATGACCATGTGTACCCAATATTTAGTTCCCACTTCTAAGTGAGAACAGAGGCATCACTCTTGACAACTACCTCTCTTACTGATTTCCCAACTGAAATCCATTATTAAGACCTATTGATTTAGGCTCCCGATTATCTCTCAAATCTGTTCACTTATCTCTCGTCTTCGTTCCCTCCATACTGGTCCACGCTACCGTTATTTCTTGCCCATACACCTTGTATTAGGCTTCCGACTCTGGCACCTCTCTGATACACTCTTCACCTTGTTGTCGGGATAATCTTTTCAAAAACACTTACTAATCACCGATTCTAAGCTAGATATACTGCCATGGGTCCCCGGAGAGCCAGAACACTCCCAAGGGCAGAAACAAAAAAGAAAATGCACTCATAGAAGTGTCAAGGCCGGGCGCGGTGGCTCAGGCCTGTAATCCCAGCACTTTGGGAGAACAAGGCAAGCGTATCACGAGGCCAGATCGAGACCATCCTGGCTAACACGGTGAAACCCCGTCTCTACTAAAAATACAAAAAAAATTAGCTGGGCTTCGTGGTGGGTGCCTGTAGTCCCAGCTACTCGGGAGGCTGAGGCAGGAGAATGGCATGAACCCGGGAGGCGGAGCTTGCAGTGAGCCAAGATCGCGCCACTGCACTCCAGCCTGGGCGACAGAGCGAGACTCCATCTCAAAAAAAAAAAAAAAAAAAAAAAGAAAGAAAGAAAAGTGTCTTCCCCAGGCTATTCATTGCCTGTGCCCTAAACATTCTTAAAGGCCACCATTTGGGGATGGATGAACGGTCCTTGATCAACTTGCTGATTTGGAGGTTTTTAAAATAACTTTTCATACTTTCACATTACTTTTTAATGTAATATGTGCTCATGTTTTAAAAATTTGGAAAATGCATATATTTTAAAAAGAGCATGAAAAAGCATTTCTAATTCCATCATCCAGAAATTTTGGCTTATTTCTTTCAAACGTTTGCCTCATGCTTTTAAAACCTTATTAAGATCATTCTGTATATTAATGCGATTTTCTATTCCGCTTTTTGTGCTTAAGGTTATAAGATTTTTTCCATATCATTAAAAACTCTATGTAAATATCATTTTAATAGCTGCTTAACATTCTATGATATTAGAAATTTCATTTTGAAATTTGTCTTTTGCCTAGTATCAAAACAAATAATTTTACTTTTGAGGGAGGTAGGTGGTGGCAGTGGGAGGCCTATCTCCATGGCTTGATGACACTCAAAGGTTGCTGTTTAAATATGTAACAAAATTACATCTCTCTCTTTAGCTACGGCCTCAGTCCAAAAGGTAGCACCCAATCTGCTTGCTGATTCCAGCACCTTCTAACAATATTTACTCCTTGAGGCTTCTAAAGCTAAGGCACATTTGGTTTTCTAGTGGATAAGCCAATAAAGGCTCTGGGATGTCATTTGGGTTAGACACCCCGAGAGAGGGGAAGAGAGGAAGGCAAGAAGCCCCAGAGGAGCTGTGCTAAGTATGCAAACATGCATTTGGCCCTTAAAATACCACACCTAGCTGCGTATTTTTTCCTTACAATGTACAGTGATTAGTAATCCATAATTTATGACTCTAATTAATTCTTCTCTTTATCATGGAGAGAGACTCACCGAAGCGTGCCACTCTGACAAATCTCCAATACCATGTTCCACTCAAGCCCTGGATTTCCTTGCTGGGAACTCATTTGGCAAAACCCATTAAGCTGGCAAAAGATCCAGAGCATTAGAGAGGGAGGCACGCCCCTCCCTTCACCCGCCATCACCCCATTCTACTCAAACTCCAGGAAGAAACAGACTAACAGAAAACAAAGCTGACTGTGCCATTTAACTGAGGCCACACCTCCTTCAGGAGAACCAGCTTGGGCCTGATAGTAAATAAAGTGTAATTGCAGCCAGGGCAAGATCACCAAAGCAGATATTCTAGACTTCTAGGCTTTGAGACGGGTTCCCAACAGGAAAAGGGAAGAGTGTGAAAATCAAATTACTTGCATGTAACACACCTCTCTGGCTCTCTTAACACCTGCTGACATGATTCAAGTGGATCCAAGTGTTTTAGAACTTTAAGGAAGGCTCTCGTTTATAATCTGGCTGGATCCCTGTGTAACTAAAGACTGTACATTGTTCTGTGATTAGACAATGGGCCAAGGAGCCTGCTAGTCTGTACTCTGCCTTTTTTGGTGAAGTATACTAGTTCATGTTTATTGAAGACTTATTATGTACCAAGGGTTTATTAATTTATTTAATGCTCATAGCAACTCACAGAGGTAGGTACTATTGTCAACTAGAGCAGACATTCCTGACAGCAGGGCCTTGGTTTGGTTCCCTGCTGTATCCCCATATCCTAAAACTGGTCTGGTGTAGAGTGGTACTCAATCAATATTTGTTCAATGGATGAATACTCATTTGACAGATGAGAAAACTGAGGCAGAGAACAAGTAAGTGGCAAAGTGAAATTCAATCTAGAGCTCATGCTTCTTTTTTTTTTTTTTTAATTTTTTTTTTGAGACGGAGTCTCGCTCTGTCGCCCAGGCTGGAGTGCAGTGGTGTGATCTCGGCTCACTGCAAGCTTCGCCTCCAGGGTTCATGCCATTCTCCTGCCTCAGCCTCCCGAGTAGCTGGGATTAAGGCGCCCACCACCACGCCCGGCTAATTTTTTGTATTTTTCATAGAGACAGGGTTTCACCGTGTTAACCAGGATGGTCCTGATCTCCTGACCTCATGATCCACCTTCCTCGGCCTCCCAAAGTGCTGGGATTACAGGCGTGAGCCACCACACCCGGCCGAGCTCATGCTTTTAAGCATCACTCAATGGCGTGTCCCTCACCTCTGCAGAAGTTTGATTTCATTTCCTTGTTTGCTGAAGGATAAATGCAACAAATGTCCTCAAGATGTTTTTTCTTTTTTCTTTTTTTTTTCTTTTTTTTGAGATGGAGTTTCACTCTTGTTGCCTAGGCTGGAGTGCAAGTGCAATGGCACAATCTCAGTTCACTGCAACCTCTGCCCCCTGGGTTCAAGGGATTCTCCTGCCTCAGCCTCCCAAGTAGCTGGAATTACAGGCGCCTGCCACCACGCCTGGCTAATTTTTTGTATTTTTAGTCCAGATGGGGTTTCACCATGTTGGCCAGGCTGGTCTCAAACTCCAGACCTCAGGTGATCCACCGGCCTCGGCCTCCCAAAGTGCTGGGATTATAGGTGTGAGCCACCGCCCCCAGCCCTCAAGATGTATTTTTGAGTTCAAGGTGTAATGTAGACACCAGGTGTTAATTATCACTGGCATAGAGCAGGGCATTAGACAGGTGTAGCAGGTGATTGATAAAGGCATTGCCACTATTATATTGAAATGATCATGGCCTGCCTGTGGAGGAGACATTTATTTATTTTTCTACCCTGAGCAACCCTGAATGTTCTAAGTCCCCTTTCTTATGGCAGGCTTTGTCAGCCCTCAGACACTTTCACTCATGGACCAGAGAAAATGACCCAACTCTACAAGCACAAGAACATATGCCCATTATTACCACCTCACCTTTGTTCCTTTGCCCTCTCAGCTTTGATTTAATTTGATTTCTTTCTGATCTGCAGATTGATGAAATCTATTCTCTTTTCCAAGCCTGCTTGAGCCCCAGACTGTAGCCTGGTGGGCCACGTGAGAACAGTGCCCGCAACCACAGCCGAGAGAGGTGTTATTTACATATTTATTAGAAATTCTGTCCTGCTGGCAAGAGACGCTCACTTCTGACTTTAATTCCGATAAGTAAACAACCCCATTGGCAAGAAAGAGGGGGGAAAACAAACCAGAGTAGTTTGCACAAGATAATACAGTAAAGCAGAAAAATATCCATAATGCAAAACCATTTGCAGTGCAAAGCAAAAGAGAGAGAGAAAAAAATTCCATCTCCAAAGCCTAGCTTAGGTTAAATACTCTAAAAGAAATAATTACAAAGTAATTCAATTATATTTGGTATCAGTTGCCTCACAGGCCAGTGGAATGACAATTAATCCCAGGGTGTCTTTTTTTTTTAATTTTAATACTTTGTGGTTTGTTCAGAATTACCCTCCAGCAGTTAACTGCACTCAGCAATCCTCTGGCTGATTGTGTCTCTCTTCTCATCCTCATCCATTCTGGTCTGATAACGCCCCACACCAGGGAGCCATTCTGCCAAGTTCAACCTTCTCTGACCCCTCTCTCAAACTGTCCAGCATCCTAACATTTTGCTTAGGTGCACTCCTTCTTCCCCTTAATTCTATTGCATTGTGAGAATTGCAACAGGGGGAGAGTTTAGCATCCTACAGCTTTCTCCTAACATCCAAAATTGAGCCAACATCATCATCCCTGTGACAACACAGTGAATTAAATCCTTTTCAGCATCGCATGTCTAGCTATCCTCAGAAAAAAATTACATTTTAGGAACATTAAAATGGACTGACTTTAATCCACAATAGCAAAAGAAGCAAGAGATAGAGCTTAAATCCTGCCTGATGTTCTGACCTGAACTTATTCTGCAGATAAAATCACACTGAATTCTTTGCATTTCTATAGCTTCTTTCAGTCAGGGATTGCAAGGTACTTTACACACAGTAATAAGCTTCACAACCTTTCTTTGATGCTGCTTTCCAGCTCCTGGAAGCGTTCATGCATCAGAAAACTGGAAAATGATGGATGGAAAGGGACTGGCCCAGGCAACCTCCCCAGTTGACCATGGTGGAGAAAAGAGAACTCAAACAGTTGGCTGCAACACTCAACACCAATGATCAAGAAAATAATTGTACTTGTAAACCGCAAACATGCTTATAAAAATTCAAAATAAGAAATTGTGATATGAGGATTGTGCTTTGTTCTTCAGTGATTCGGTTGATCAAAGGGCATGTGAACCCAATAACTTACAGTGAAAATTATTTCTGTTATTAGATACACGTCTATTCCATCACAGTGACCCTTATGTTCATGAAAGAGGCATGTCCTCAACAATGGGATGTTACCACAATCTTATCACTGGATATAGAAATAAGAAAGAGGTATGTTATAAAGCAGCTAAGTTGGTTCATAGGATAAAAAAATGCCATTGAATGCTAACTAAATATAGTAGCTGCAGGTAATTCAGTGTCTATTATGGGACAGATGTGCTAAACTCTTTCTGTGCATTAACTAATACTCCCAGTAGCATGATACAACTGTTGATTTCATTTTCCAGACAGGGACAGAGAGTTTGAACAACTTTCCCAAGTTTGCAC
Organism: Homo sapiens; assembly: GCF_000001405.40. NCBI lineage: Eukaryota > Metazoa > Chordata > Mammalia > Primates > Hominidae > Homo > Homo sapiens. Next base: position 209,009,504 of record NC_000001.11, on the reverse strand, counting down.
AACCAGTATCAGAGCTAGGATTCTAATCTAGCTGAGTATTCTCTAACATAATAGAGAACATGAAATATACATCTGGGAGTACTTAGGGGAGGAGAGGAAACACATGGCAGTGGCTGGGAAATCTTAATCTTAGACACAGAAGTGGCTCCAGTTCTTGGAAGAAATGTTTGCTGGACCTTCAACCTCCTTTACTTCCAACAGAGGAGAGCCAGTGTCATGCACGTAGTGTGTGAAAGTGAAGGAGACATTTATTTATTTTTCTACCCTGAGCAACCCTGTATGTTCTAAGTCCCCTTTCTTATGGCAGGCCTTGTCAGCCCTCAGTCCAGCACTAAGCTGGACTGCTTGAGTCTGAACTCCTGGTCTACCACTTTCTCCTTGTGTCACCTGAGCTCCCACGTGTCTCAGAGGGTTGTGGTGAGGATTGAGTTGATGCATACAACCCACTTAGAACAGTGCTTAGTGCTTGGTATATGAATATTAATATGATTTATAATTATTTTACAAAGGCCTCTCAGGGAGGTTCATCTAGTCAACATGTCTTCTTTTGTGTTCACAGAATCAGAAGCAAGAGCCTTGAAGTGATGGTGTGGCATGACAGGCACAGTTTTTAAGGGTTCATTCCTTTCTGATTACTCTGGTTTAATTGGTTTTACCTTCAGACAATACCCTCTTGTCTTTAAATACTCTCCTGCCAGCTCACTTACATGTTAACTCCTATAATGGAGAACCCAAGCCTTTCATCATACAGCTGCAGAATATATTCAAGAGATAAATTCCTGTGACCGAAAGTTATCCAATCACTCATGAGTGCTGGTGAGCAAAAACAGGCCACCATCTTCTCTCATGAAGTGTGCTCTCTAATAGCAGGCAGATGAATACATGATCACACAAATAAGGGGGAAATTACAACTGTGGCAAATTTAACAACATGAAATTATAGTAGGTAAAGGAAATGTCGTTCCTGGTGAAAAGAGCAGCCTGTGTAAAATGGTGGAGAAAAGATGGTAAGAAATAGAAAATGGCCAGGTGGGTGAAGTGCAGACAGAAAGAGAAGGAGGGATAGAGACAGTTTGGAAAAGATGAGATGCTATAGCTGTAGGCAGCAGCGAGGTCAAAATATTTCAATCCTTTTTCATTCCCTGAGAACAATGGGAACCACTGGAAGAGTTTAAGCAAAAATGATGTATCCGATTTTCTCATTTAGACATCATTTTGCCTCTTTTAATCCAGTGTTCATCACACCTATAGTCACCCATTGAAATGCACAACGGCGGTATCTCCAAATGTCTAAAGTTCTTTTTCAAGTTCCTTTGTGTATGCATTCATTCTTTCATAAGCTATTACTATGAATAGTTATTATTGGCTATTGAGCGCCTGTACTGTGTATGAACACTTTTCTAGACTCACAGCACATGAATACAATTAATAAGCACATGGTCCAGCAGGGAACACAGGATAAAAAGGTAAATTACGATAGTGTGATCAGTGCTGGGAGAGAGGGAAGTTCAAAACAGAACTGAAAGGAGCCATTTAAATCTTGCCTTGGAAGAGGGCAAGCCTAGGGTGAAGTAATATTTGGGTTAGTCTTTCTTTTTTTCTGAGATGGAGTCTTTCACTCTGTTGCCCAGGCTGGGGTGCAGTGGCTCAATCTCAGCTCACTGCAACCTCCGTCTCTTGGGTTCAACCGATTCCCCCACCTCAGCCTCCCAAGTAGCTGGAATTACAGGCACCCACCATCATGCCTGGCTAATTTTTCTATTTTTGTAGAGACAGAGTTTCACCATGTTGGCCAGGCTGGTCTTGAACTCCTGACCTCAGGTGATCCACCCACCTTGGCCTCCCAAAGTGCTGGGATTACAGCTGTGAGCCACTGCACCTGGCCAGGTTAGTCTTAAAATAACTCATGTGAGTTTACCAGGGGGAAAAAGTAGAATATATTTATTGTGGAAAAACTCTGAAAATGCAGAAGGAAGTATAAAAGGAATATCAAATCACACACAATCCTTCAACTTAGACCCTATGAAGATTATGAAAATATTGATAAGATATTTTAAAAGAGTATCCTTTAAATATAGAAAATCCTCAACTTACAAATATATTGTGTTTCAATGCTTCAATAGCTTTTAAGGAAAAAGTTTAGAATTCAGAGTGTGCTCTTCCACAAGAACAACATTATAACTGGAGTTAAGATTCTCAGGCCAACCTGTAATAGTTTATTTAAATATATATATAACATTTAAACATATGCACATATAAAAGGCCGTAAGAGTCACAGATTATCATATTAGTTTCTATTGCTATGTAACAGATTACTCCAAACCTTAGTGTCTTAAAACAAGCACTTCTTATTTCACGGGTTGTGTGAGTCAGGAATCTGGGCCACAGCCTAGTTCAGGATCTCTTGAAAGTTCATACTACCCTAAATCAGCTTCAGTTCCATTCTTAACATCTTCCTAGAGTTCTTGAGGCTCCAGAATTACTTTGCTTTTCCTGTTCTGTGCTACCTCACTCCCATTTTTAACCTAGCCTCCAAATAGTATTCCCATTTCTTGAGTGCAAAGGAATCACTGGTACAGGATGGGGCAGAGGATCCATCTGAACAAAGTTACATGAAGAGAGGGATCCCTGGTTGAGTGGCACTATATAGGTCTGATAAATAGATGTATAATTTATGGAATTGCAGTCAGTCAAACTAATGGAAATAAGAGTTTTCAAATTATTGAGATAAATGTTTAGTGGATTTAGTACCACATGTGAGGTTTGTCATAGGATCATTTTTCATAAGTTGATATTATTGGCACTTTACTTCTGAACCTGGAAATTAAGATATCAGGTCTTCACCCCACTCCCACGCCTCAAATTTTCAGGTGAGCAATATCAGGAACTTCAGCTATTGTATCAAGAACAAACAACGATGGCTTCCTAGTCCCTATTTCTCCCCCCTTGAAATGTCAGATATGAGGAAAAAATACTCTAGCACTTTCTTCTACTAACCACAGAAAACCACAGATCAAGGAACATAAAAAAGTCATTTTGAAACTTTTACTGGGCAGTTTCCAGGAGACAAAGATTTGGATGGCTTGAAAAAGCTACACTCATAGGGTTTTTTCTTTGTTCCTCAAGAGTTGGGGGTGAACTTTAGAAGCAGAAAATAAATAACTTATACATAAATGGGGGTAGTTGGGTGGCAGCTGTGGGTCAAGATTGTTCAAGGGGCAGGTGGCACTATTTTGGTTGACACAACTTAAAACATAATTCTCTGTTGAGGCAAGGATCTCTGTAAATTATGTTGTATTTAGGGGAATAATATCCAGATAAACAGAAGAAACATTTCCTATGAACAGTTGATGTTCGTAGAGTTCATCTAGATTGAGGAATTGTATTGTTAAGAATGACCTTCACCAAGAGATAATGAAACGAATCCTTGTATCAGATTAATTCCTGTGGGGTTGACCTTAGAAGAATGGTGGGGATTTGCACTGTGAATATTTGAAGGAGGAGGCATTTTTGAAAGGAGGGCAGATTCGAGGATAAGGGAAGCAAGGCTGCGAATGGGGATGGAACCTGCCTAGACCTTCTATCATATGCTTTTGTGTTTTCACTTGGACTATGGAAACAGATATTTTCTACTTCTCACTCAATTATCTTGCAATTCACTTTACTTACCTCTTAAGTCATTTCTGTAGTCGGATCCAATATCATAGCCTTATATACATTATGGAGAGGAAAAGGAAAACACCCAGAAGTGTGACCTATCCCACATCTACCTCTCTGGTGGGAGCTGTGTGGGACAGGAACATTATTTTGAGAGAGACCTGAGCATGGAAGTTATAGACAGTGCTCAGTAAAGCACTTCCCAGTGGAATCAAGTGAGTAGAAAGGAAAGGGTGATATGGAAAAGCACCTTCAGATGGACCAACCAGGAGCAGCTCTATTTTTACCTGCTGTATCAGTAAGAGTTCTATCAAAAAAGCAGAACCAGTAGAACAATATATGTATAAATAGTTTTTCCACTAATATCTTTTCTGTATCCAAGGATGCAATCCTTGCATATATATAATTTAAATATATGTGCATAAAATAGACCCTATAATTTACAGGTTATTGTATTAGTGATTCTGCAATCCCGGAGAGCGCTTTGCATTAAGGTCTTCCTCGTCTCCTCCAAGTTGTGACAGTCCTTTTGGCTTTCCTTATCTTTCATAGTCTTGACACTTTTGAAGAGCACCTGTGTTATTTTGTAGAAAGGCTCTCAATTGGGGTTTGTTTGTTATTTTCTTCTGATAAATTGAAGTTATGCATTCTTGGGAAGGGTATCACAGAGATGATGCATCATTCTTATTTTTTTTTTTTTTTGTGAGACGGAGTCTCGCTCTGCCACTCAGGCTGGAGTACAGTGACGCAATCTTGGCTCACTGCAAGCTCCGCCTCCTGGGTTCACGTCATTATCCTGCCTCAGCCTCCCCAGCAGCTGGGACTACAGGCGCCCGCCATCAGGCCCAGCTAATTTTTTGTATTTTTAGTAGAGACCAGTTTTCATCGTGTTAGCCAGGATGGTCTCGATCTCCTGACCTCGTGATCCGCCTGCCTCAGCCTCCCAAAGTGCTGAGATTACAGGCATGAGCTACCGCGCCCGGCCGCATCATTCTTATTATGTCATTACCTCACGAGTACCTGATGTCGTTTCTCTTATTACTGCTGATGTTAATTAACCTTTATCACCTGGTTAAGGTGGTGTCTGCCAGAATTCTTCACTGTAAAGGTACTATTTTTCCCTTAATAATATACTAAATATTTATTGGATGATAATTTAACACTATGCAAATATCTTGTTGCCTCTTAAACTTTTTCCTGTTAATTCTAGCAATTATTACTTTTGTGTTCTACTGATGATTTTTTTTTTTTTTTTTTTTTTTTTTTGAGACGGAGTCTGGCTCTGTCGCCCAGGCTGGAGTGCAGTGGCGGGATCTTGGCTCACTGAAAGCTCCGCCTCCTGGGCTCATGCTATTCTCCTGCCTCAGCCTCCCGAGTAGCTGGGACTACAGGCGCCCGCCACCACGCCCGGCTAATTTTTTGTATTTTTTTAGTAGAGACAGGGTTTCACTGTGTTAGCCAGGTTGGTCTTGATCTCCTGACCTTGTGATACGCCTGCCTTGGCCTCTCAAAGCGCTGGGATTACAGGCGTGAGCCACCGCGCCCGGCCTCTACTGGTGATTTTATATACCCCCTTAGTTTTTTTATTTAAGGAATTACTTACTTTGTGATGCCACAGGAATGGTACAGGTTTATCATGAATTATCTCTGTCCCAAACCTGGAGTCAATCAGTTTTCCATGGAGCGCTGGTTCCTTTTATTAGAAAACGGTATTCAGAAACTAAGATCTAAGTTCTAGGTATGCTCCTTGCTGAGTATCACTTCTTCTAGTCTAGTAGATGGAGCTAGGAAATATATGTCTGAATACTAACTAATGCATATGTACTTCTATTTCTGTTTTTCTATTATCTTTCTCTCCTGTGTAATTTTTAAAATGCATGAGCTTACATTTGTATCTTGATTCCAGTTCAGGACCACAAGTTCATTCTAGCCTTCCACCTTTCCTTATTTGTAACTTATTTCTTTGATGTTGAGAAATCTAGCTCTCACTAGCTAAAATATATTTACTCATTTGTTAAAACCTAGTTTACTAATAAAGTATTTTCAGAGCTATTAACCCATACACCTCTAAAAAATAAATTTACCAATTAGACTATAATGTTTCTGCATAGTTCTTATGTCTTCAACCTTTAAGTATGTAGTCAAAACACTGTTTTCCAAAGTTACGTAGGTCACTTCCTTTCTTCTCCATCTCCTTCAGTGAGGTCATGTGTTATGTGATTCTTTTGTCATAAATTAAATTCTGTCACAGTCTGGTATCCACCAGCCCTCCCCATTGTCTTGATGGATTTTCTGAAAAACAAAGAAACAAACATGGTAAAATTTATTCTTTTTGGTGAACAGCTCTATGGGTTTTGACAAATGCATAGATCCATGTTTCTGTCACCACAATTGCATGTAGGATAGCTCCATCAGCCCTGAAATCCACTGGTGCTGCCTCTTTATAAGCAACTGTTCCTCCTACTATGGAACGCCTGGAAACCACTGTTCTATATTTCTTCCTTAGGGTTTTCCTATTCCCAGAGTATCATATAAATTGAATCATATAACATGTATCATTTTGAGTCTAGCTCCTTTCACTTAACAAAATGCATTTAAGATTCATCCACGTAGGCCGGGCTCATGCCTGTAATCCCAGCACTTTGGGAGGCCAAAGTGGGCAGATCACTTGAGGTAAGGAATTCGAGACCAGCTTGGCCAACATGGTGAAACCCTGTCTCTACTAAAAATACAAAAATTAGCTGGGTGTGGTGGCGTGCACCTGTAATCCCAGCTACTCAGGAGGCTGAGGCAGGAGAATTGCTTGAACTTGGGAGGCAGAGGTTGCAGTGAGCCAAGATCATGCCACTGCACTCCAGCCTGGGTGATAGAATGAGACTCTGTGTCAAAAAAAATTAAAATTAAACTTAAAAAAAAAGATCATCCGTGTTGTTTGTGAATCAATAGTCTCTTCCTATTCATTGCCGTATAGTATTATTCTCTTACACAAATCTACCACAGCTTGTCTATTGATTCTCTGGCTGAAGGACATCTGGAACGTTTCCAACTTTTGAAGAATATAAATAAAGCTCCTATAAATGTTCATACAAAGTACATGTTTTTATAGGAACATAAGTTTTTATTTCTTTTAGTTTGATAGCTAGAAGTGGGATTAATGGATCATAGCATAGGTATATGTTTACCTTTGTAAGAATTCTTGAAGTGTTTCTCAAAGAGACTAATATTTCGCATTTCCACCAGCTATGTATGAGTTCTAGTTGGTTTATACCTTTGTCGACGCTTGGTATTGCTATTTTTTTTAATTAACCATTCTAATAGGTATGTAGTGATACATCATGGTAGCTTTAATTTGCATTTTCCTATCATTTACGTTGTTGGGCATCCTTTTGTAGGCTTATTTTCCATACACGTTTTCTTTGGTTAAATGGTTTAGATCTTTTAACTGCTTTTCTTTTGTTTTGTTTTTATTGAGACAAGATCTTGCTCTGTCACCCAGGCTGGATGGAGTGCAGTGGTGCAGTCATACCTCACTGCAGCCTTGCCCCCCCAGGCTCAGTGATCCTCCCACCTCACCCTTCTGAGTAACTGGGATCACAGGTGTGTGCCACCATGCCTGGCTAATTTTCTGATTTTTTGTAGAGACAAGGTCTTCACTATGTTGCCCATTCTGCTGGAATTCCTGGGCTCAAGTGACACTCTCGCCTTGTCCTCCCAAAGTGCTGGGATTACACGAATGAGCCAAGGGGCCTGGCCACTTTTTTTTTTCTTTTTTGAAGCGATCAAAGATGACTTTATATAGATTTCTCACAATTTTATTCTAAATATACAGAACAAAAAATGGTGTCAGTTAAACTGTGAGACAAAACCAGATTTTCTTTATACTGTCTCAAAATTTAAAGATCAGTTTACCCAGAAGGTGTGCAATGCATCATAAAATGGTTTCATTTTTTTTTAGGGTGGGAGAAGAAGGATTGGGAAAGATGCATATTAAATTGTACCATGATAGATGTGCAAGACTGTTATTCAATCTAGAAAATTTATATACATTTTGATGACTTAGAAAAACAAACTGGGACTTCTCCAGTTGTACCATGTGGGCCTTTTGAAAGTAACAAATAAAAGGCCAGTTTCTGTTAAGTTTTCTGATGAACAAAACATTCCACCCTTAAATGCAGCATGGATTGAGTTGAAGGCTGCTACCTTAATACGCAAAGAAAAGTATGTAAGTGCAAATATGAGTTAAACTGCCTTCAGGGAAAAAAAAAAGTCTTTAAAATTGAAAAGGACATTTCCTTCCTGCGTTGGAGTCCTCCCAATTTAAAGCAGACTCCATCTATTCTAATTTCTGCAGCTAAAAACTTACTCTGCTTATTTGGTTTTCTCCTCTGAGTTTAGCTGCTGCTGGATTATTTTGGCATCATTTTGTGCCATGGAATTGATGATAGGTTGAAGTCACACACCATCACAACAGTGAACTTCTTCAACATCCAGGACAACCAGATTTCTCCCACCTGGACTTAAAAAGCAAGGATTAGATAGGAAGAGGAATGTAATACAATAGTCAGAGAGCTCTTGAAATCCTGTGAACTCCTTTTAGTGGATAAAAACTCTTCCTTCTAAAAATCCCTTAAAAGAGCAAAATCTCTCCCACTAACATGTCTGGGATAAACAAGGAGCTTTAAGTCAGGAGCTACTTCTAGCAGAAGTGTTAGTCTTCAGAGTGAGGCCAGTTCAGCAGGTAATGCAGACTGGTAAGGTACAAAGAATAAAATCTAACCACTTTTTAATTGGGTGGATTTCCCATTGCTGGATTTTGAGAGTTTTTATATATCCTGGACAGAAGTGCTTTGCCAGAAATGTGATTTGCAAGTATTTTCTCTAGTCTGTGGCTGTGTCTTTTGAAGAGCAAACATTTTTCATTTTAATTAAGTACAATTTATTGAGCTTTTGCACTTATGGATCATGCTTTTGGTGATGTAAGTAAAACTCTTTAATCTAAGTTGGCATAGATTTTCTGTTTTTTTTTTCTAAAAGTGTTATAGCTTTATTTTTTATATCTATAATCTATTTAGGGCTAATCTTTGTAGAAACTGTGAGATATAGGCTGAGATTATTATCTTTTTTTGCATACAGACTTCCAATTGTTGCAGCGCTATTTATTGAAGACACTGTACTTTCTCCACTGAATTGCATTTGCACCTTTATAAAAAATCAGTTGACTATATTTTATTGGTGTGGATCTATTTCCTATTTTTTGCTATCTGATCCATTAATTTATACATTTATCCTTTCACCAATATCACACTGTCTTGATTACTGTAACTTTAAGTCTTGAAATAAAGAAAGGAAGTCCCCAGGATGTTATTCTCTTTCAAAACTGTTCTGGCTATTCTAGTTTATTAGTCTTTTCACATATATTTTAGAATCACCTCATCAATATTTACAAAAGAGGCTTCTGGGATTTTGTTTCATCTCTAGACTGAATCGGAAAGAATTGATATCTTAGCAATATTGAGTCTTGCAATCTATTAACGTGATATGTCTCTAAGTTTATTTAGGACTTTAATTTTTTTCATCAGTATTTTGCAGTTGTTAGCATACAGATCCTACATGTAATTTTGAAAATTTATATACCTCAGTATTTTTGGCATTATAGTAAGTGGTTTTTTTTTTAATTAACTTTGAATTCCAATTGTTAACTTTGTATTCTGTGACCTTGCTAAGCTCTTTTATTAGTTCTAGAAGGGTTGTTGTAGACTTCTTTTGGGATTTTCTACATAGATACTTTTGTTGTTCATAAATAAATATTTTTTCTCTTCTTTTTTCTTAATTTTCTTATTTTATTGCACTGGCTAGGACTTCCATAATGATGTTGAGAGAGACAGAGGACATCCTTACCTTATTCTTGACTATAGGACGAAACAATTCAGTCTTTCATCATTTAATGTTCATTGTGCACTTTCTCAGATTAAGGAAGCTCTCTTTTATTTCTAGTTTGCTAAGAGTTTTTACCATAAATGGAAGTTTAATTTTGTCAAATAATTTGTCTGCATTTATTGATGATCATATGTTTTTTCTTCTTTCAAATTCATTGATTTCTGGTTTTATTTATATTTAATTTTTTCTGCTTGCTTTGGATGTAGTTTGCTCTTCTACTTCTAGTTTTGTAAGGTAAAAACTTATATTGTGGGTTTGAGATCTTCTTATTTCTATTATAACCATTTTATACTATACACTTCCATGTAATCACTGTTTTAGTCATCTCACATTTGTTGAAGTTCTGCAGGTTCATTTTCATTCACTTCACAATACTTTAAATTTTTTTTGAAACTTCCTCTTTGACCTATGTATTATTTAGAATTGTGCTGTTTAATTTCCAACTATTTGGAGATTTTCTAATTGGTGTTGTGTTATTTTTCTCTAGGCTAATTCTGTTATGGTCTGAGAACATACTTTGTATGATTTCTGCCCTTTTTAATTTGCTGAGGTTTATTTTGAGCCTGAATGAAGTCTGTCCTGGTGAGTGTTCTAATGCACTAATAAAAGAAAGTATATTTTGCTGTTGTTCTATGGTGTGCTCCAGAAATGTCAATTAGGTATAATTGGTTAATAATGTTGTTAAGGACTTCCATATTCTTGCTGATTTTCTCTTTACATGTTCTATCAGTTACTGAGAGAAAAGTAATAAAGTCTCCAACTACAATTCTGGCTCTGCCTTTATTTCCTTTCAGTTCTAGTTGGTTTTGTCTAATGCATTTTGAAACTCTGATGTTGTGTGCGTAAACGTTTAGCATTGTTATGTCTTCTTGTAAAATTGATTATTTTATCATTATGTCATGTCTCTCTTTATCCTTGATAATGTTCCTTTTTCTGAGGTCTATTTTGTTTCTTATCAAAATAGCTATTTCAGCCTTTTTGGGTTAGTGTTTACATGGTATATTTTTTCCTTTCTTTTAACTTTTACTTTATAAATGTCTTTTATTTAAAATTGATTTATTGAGGAAAGCATATTGTTGGGGCTTGCTTTTCGATCCTATCTGACAATCTCCCTTTTTTAACTGGTGCATTCAGGCATTCATATTTAATGTGATTGTTGATATGGTTGGATTAACATCTACCATCATGTTAGCTGTTTTGTGTTTCTTCCATATGTTCCTTATTTCTTTTTAACTCTTTTTCTCTCTTCTCTTGGGTTAATTGAGCATTTTTATGATTCCACTTTATTTCCTAATTGACATTATTTATACTACTTAAAAAATGTTTTTAGTGTTTGCCCTAGGGTTTACAATATACAACTGTAATTAGATAAGCTCTTGTTTGTAGACAGTATCCCAGGCCTAAACCAAACAAGCAAAAAGGATGCAAAATCACTGAGCTTCATTATAGATTTATATAATTAATATTTACTTAATGTCTATCGTAGTCCAGATATTATTTTAAACACTTACATGTATTAATTGATTTATTGCTCTTAGCAACACTAAAATTGTTAACCCCATTTTATGGATAAAGAAATTGAAATTGAAGCATGGAAGTTATTTACCAAGATAAAGTCATGTTCCCATGATCACAAGAAGACTGGTCAGACTCCAGAGCTAATAGTTAAAAGCATTGTGTTATGCAGCTATGCGCTAGCCTAGAAAACTGCCATTTAGAATTTTAATACCCAGACATTCAACTTACAAAACATCATTTGAGGGCATTTTTCCCAAATATGCTACAGGAAGTTGACCTCTAGAGGGAGTAGGGGATGGGGGAAGACATTGATGCTTAGCTTACATTTCTACATACTGAATTTTGTAAATCAAATATTTTTAAGTCAGTGGTATCATAAAATGATACCTTCTAATCACCTAATTTTAACACTGAGAGCATACCTGGATATCATCCAATGTTCTCATTTTGCTGATAAGGGGAATGATGCCCCCAAGAAATTACATTTCTTGCCTAATAATTAGTAACAGAGCCAGAACTTGAACCTATTATGGAGCTCTCTCCCCAAAGCTCTGCTATCCCCGTCCTGTGTAGTCTTACACTGTTTTATGCATACTTCTTATCACTGAACATATCATCACACTGGGGGCTATTTGTTCTTTTACATATTTCCATCTCCTATTAATATTTTTTATTTTATTTATTTATTCTGGTACCTTATTTATTTATTTAAGGGAAAGCAAGTTTATTCAGAAAGTAAAGGAATAAAAGAATGGCTACTCCATAGACGGAGCAGCCCCAAGGGCTGGTTGCCTATTTTTATGGTTATTTCTTTTTTTATTATTATTATACTTTAAGTTCTAGGGTACATGTGCACAATGTGCAAGTTTGTTACATATGTATACATGTGCCATGTAGGTGTGCTGCACCCATTAGCTTGTCATTTACATTAGGTATATCTCCTAATGCTATCCCTCCCCCCTCCTCCCACCCCACAACAGGTCCCAGTGTGTGATGTTCCCCACCCTGTGTCCAAGTGTTCTCATTGTTCAATTCCCACCTATGAGTGAGTGAGAACATGCAGTGTTTGGTTTTCTGTCCTTGTAATAGTTTGCTCAGAATGATGGTTTCCAGTTTCATCCATGTCCCAACAAAGGACATGAACTTATCCTTTTTAATGGCTGCATAGTATTCCATGGTGTATATGTGCCACATTTTCTTAATCCAGTCTATCATTGATGGACATTTGGGTCGGTTCCAAGTCTTTCCTATTGTGAATAGTGCTGCAATAAACATATGTGTGCATGTGTCGCATGATTTATAGTCATTTGGGTATATGTCCAGTAATGGGATGGCTGGGTCAAATGGTATTTCTAGTTCTAGATCCTTGAGGAATTGCCACACTGTCTTCCACAATGGTTAAACTAGTTTACAGTCCCACCAACAGTGTAAAAGTGTTCCTATTTCTCCACATCCTCTCCAGCACCTGTTTCCTGACTTTTTAATGATTGCCATTCTAACTGGTGTGAGATGGTATCTCATTGTAGTTTTGATTTGCATTTCTCTGATGGCCAGTGATGATGAGCATTTTTTCATGTGTCTGTTGGCAGCATAAATGTCTTCTTTTGAGAAGTGTCTGTTCATCTCCTTTGCCCAGTTTTTGATGGGGTTGTTTGACTTTTTCCTGTAAATTCGTTTAAGTTCTTTGTAGATTCTGGATATTAGCCCTTTGTCAGATGGGTAGATTGTAAAAATTTTCTCCCATTCTGTAGGTTGCCTGCTCACTTTAATGGTAGTTTCCTTTGCTGTTAAGAAGCTCTTTAGTTTAATTAGATCCCATTTGTCAATTTTGGTTTTTGTTGCCATTGCTTTTGGTGTTTTAGACATGAAGTCCTTGCCCATGCCTATGTCCTGAATGGTATTGCCTAGGTTTTCTTCTAGGGTTTTTATGGTTTTAGGTCTAACATTTAAGTCTTTAATCCATCTTGAATTAATTTTTGTATAAGGTGTAAGGAAGGGATCCAGTTTCAGCTTTCTACGTATGGCTAGCCAGTTTTCCCAACACCATTTATTAAACAGGGAATCCTTTCCCCATTTCTTGTTTTTGTCAGGTTTGTCAAAGATCAGATGGTTGTAGATGTATGGTATTATTTCTGAGAGCTCTGTTCTGTTCCATTGGTTTATATCTCTGTTTTGGTACCAGTACCATGCTGTTTTGGTTACTGTAGCCTTGTAGTGTAGTTTGAAGTCAGGTAGCATGATGCCTCCAGCTTTGTTCTTTTGGCTTAGGATTGTCTTGGCAATGCGGGCTCTCTTTTGGTTCCATATGAACTTTAAAGTAGTTTTTTCCAATTCTGTGAAGAAAGTCATTGGTAGCTTGATGGGGATGGCATTGAATCTATAAATTACCTTGGGCAGTATGGCCATTTTCATGATATTGATTATTCCTATCCATGAGCATGGAATGCTCTTCCATTTGTTTGTGCCATCTTTTATTTCGTTGAGCAGTGGTTTGTAGTTCTCCTTGAAGAGGTCCTTCACATCCCTTGTAAGTTGGATTCCTAGGTATTTTATTCTCTTTGAAGCAATTGTGAATGGGAGTTCACTCACGATCTGGCTCTCTGTTTTTCTGTTATTGGTGTTTAGGAATGCTTGCGATTTTTGCACATTGATTTTGTATCCTGAGATTTTGCTGAAGTTGCTTATCAGCTTAAGGGGATTTTGGGCTGAGACAGTGGGGTTTTCTAAATATACAATCATGTAATCTGCAAACAGGGACAATTTGACTTCCTCTTTTCCTAATTGAATACCCTTTATTTCTTTCTCCTGCCTGATTGCCCTGGCCAGAACTTCCAACACTATGTTGAATAGGAGTGGTGAGAGAGGGCATCCCTGTCTTGTGCCAGTTTTCAAAGGGAATGCTTCCAGTTTTTGCCCATTCAGTATGATATTGGCTGTGGGTTTGTCATAAATAGGTCTTATTATTTTGAGATACGTCCCATCAATACCTAATTGATTGAGAGTTTTTAGCATGAAGGGCTGTTGAATTTTGTTGAAGGCCTTTTCTGCATCTATTGAGATAATCATGTGGTTTTTGTCTTTGGTTCTGTTTATATGCTGGATTACGTTTATTGATTTGCATATGTTGAACCACCCTTGCATCCCAGGGATGAAGCCAACTTGATCGTGGTGGATAAGCTTTTTGATGTGCTGCTGGATCCGGTTTGCCAGTATTTTATTGAGGATTTTTGCATCAATGTTCATTAGGAATATTGGTCTAAAATTCTCTTTTTTTGTTGTGTCTCTGCCAGGCTTTGATATCTGGGTGATGCTGGCCTCATAAAACAAGTTAGGGAGGATTCCCTCTTTTTCTATTGATTGGAATAGTTTCAGAAGGAATGGTACCAGCTCCTCTTTGTACCTCTGGTAGAATTTGGCTGTGAATCTGTCTGGTCCTGGACTCTTTTTGGTTGGTAGACTATTAAGTATTGCTTCAATTTCAGAGCCTGATATTGGTCTATTCAGGGATTCAACTTCTTCCTGGTTTAGTCTTGGAAGGGTGTATGTATCCAGGAAATTATCCATTTATTCTCGATTTTCTAGTTTATTTGCATAGAGGTGTTTATAGTATTCTCTGATGGTAGTTTGTATTTCTGTGGTATCAGTGGTGATATCCCCTTTATCATTTTTTATTGCATCTATTTAATTCTTCTCTCTTTTCTTCTTTATTAGTCTTGCTAGTGGTCTGTCAATTTTGTTGATCTTTTCAAAAAACCAGCTCCTGGATTCATTGATTTTTTGAAGGGTTTTTTATGTCTCTATTTCCTTCAGTTCTGCTCTGATCTTAGTTATTTCTTGACTTCTGCTGGCTTTTGAATGTATTTGCTCTTGCTTCTTTAGTTCTTTTAATTGTGATGTTAGGGTGTCAATTTTAGATCTTTCCTGCTTTCTCTTGTGGGCATTTAGTGCTATAAATTTCCCTCTACACTTTAAATGTGTCCCAGAGATTCTGGTATGTGTGTCTTTGTTCTCATTGGTTTCAAAGAACATCTTTATTTATTCCTTCATTTTGTTATGTACCCAGTAGTCATGCAGGAGCAGGTTGTTCAGTTTCCATGTAGTTGAGCAGTTTTGAGTGAGTTTCTTAATCCTGAGTTCTAGTTTGTTTGCACTGTGGTCTGAGAGACAGTTTGTTATAGTTTCTGTTCTTTTACATTTGCTGTGGAGCGCTTTACTTCCAACTATGTGGTCAATTTTGGAATAAGTGTGATGTGGTGCTGAGAAGAATGTAAATTCTGTTGGTTTGGGGTGGAGAGTTCTGTAGATGTCTATTAGGTCTGCTTGGTGCAGAGCTGAGTTCAATTCCTGGATATCCTTGTTAACCTTCTGTCTCATTGATCTGTCTAATGTTGACAATGGGGTTTTAAACTCTCCCATTATTATTGTTTGGGAGTCTAAGTCTCTTTGTAGGTCTCTAAGGACTTGCTTTATGAATCTGGGTGCTCTGTATTGGGTGCATATATATTTAGGATAGTTAGCTCTTCTTGTTGAATTGATCCCTTTACTATTAGGTAATGGCCTTCTTTGTCTCTTTTGATCTTTGTTGGTTTAAAGCCTGTTTTATCAGAGACTAGGATTGCAACCCCTGCTTTTTTTGTTGTTTTCCATTTGCTTGGTAGATCTTCCTCTCTCCCTTTATTTTGAGCCTACGTGTGTCTCTGCACGTGAGATGGGTCTCCTGAATACAGCACACTGATGGGTCTTGACTCTTTATCCACTTTGCCAGTCTGTGTCTTTTAATTGGAGCATTTAGCCCATTTACATTTAAGGTTAGTATTGTTATGTGTCAATTTGATCCTGTCATTATGATGTTAGCTGGTTATGTTGCTCGTTAGTTGATGTAGTTTCTTCCTAGCATTGATGGTCTTTACAATTTGGCATGTTTTTGCAGTGGCTGTTATCAGTTGTTCTTTTCCATGTTTAGTGCTTCCTTCAGGAGCTCTTGTAAGGCAGGCCTGGTGGTGACAAAATCTCTCAGTGTTTCTTTGTCTGTAAAGGATTTTATTTCTTCTCCACTTATGAAGCTTAGTTTGGCTGGATATGAAATTCTGGGGTGAAAATTCTTTTCTTTAAGAATGTTAAATATTGGCCCCCACTCTCTTCTGGCTTGTAGAGTTTCTGCCAAGAGATCTGCTATCAGTCTGATGGGCTTCCCTTTGTGGGTAACCTGACCTTTCTGTCTGGCTGCCCTTAATATTTTTTCCTTCATTTCAACTTTGGTGAATCTGACAATTACGTGTCTTGGAGTTGCTCTTCTCGAGGAGTATCTTTGTGGCGTTCTCTGTATTTCCTGAATTTGAATGTTGGCCTGCCTTGCTAGGATGGGGAAGTTCTCCTGGATGATATCCTGAAGAGTGTTTTCCAACTTGGTTCCATTCTGCCCGTCACTTTCAGGTACACCAATCAGATGTAGATTTGGTCTTTTCACATAGTCCCATATTTCTTGGAAGCTTTGTTCATTTCTTTTTATTCTTTTTTCTCTAAACTTCTCTTCTCGCTTCATTTCATTCATTTGATCTTCAATCACTGATACCCTTTCTTCCACTTCATCTAATTGGCTACTGAAGCTTGTGCATGCATCACATAGTTCTCGTGCCATAGTTTTCAGCTCCATCAGGTCATTTAAGGTCTTCTCTACACTGTTTATTCTAATTAGCCATTAATCTAATTTTCTTCAAGGTTTTTAGCTTCTTTGCGATGGGTTCGAACATCCTCCTTTAGCTTGGAGAAGTTTGTTATACCGATCATCTGAAGCCTTCTTCTCTCAACTCGTCAAAGTCATTCTCCATCCAGCTTTGTTCCATTGCTGGTGAGGAGCTGCTTTCCTTTGGAGGAGAAGAGGCACTCTGATTTTTATAATTTTCAGCTTTTCTGCTCTGGTTTCTCCCCATCTTTGTGGTTTCATCTACCTTTGGTCTTTGATGATGGTGATGTACAGATGGGGTTTTGGTGTGGAGTCCTTTCTGTTTGTTAGTTTTCCTTCTAACAGTCAGGACCCTCAGCTGCAGGTCTGTTGGAGTTTGCTGGAGGTCCACTCCAGACCCTGTTTGCCTGGGTATCACCAGTGGAGGCTGCAGAACAGCAAATATTGCAGAACGGCAAATGTTGCTGCCTGATCCTTACTCTGGAAGCTTCATCTCAGAGGGGCACCCAGCTGTATGAGGTGTCAGTCGACCCCTAATGGGAGATGTCTCCCAGTTAGGCTACTCGGGGGTCAGGTACCCACTTGAGGAGGCAGTCTGTCCGTTCTCAGATCTCAAACTCTGTGCTGGGAGAACCACTACTCTCTTCAAAGATGTCAGACAGGGACTTTAAGTCTGCAGAAGTTTCTGCTGCCTTTTATTCAGCTATGCCCTGCCCCCAGAGGTGGAGTCTACAGAGGCAGGCAGGCCTCCTTGAGCTGCAGTGGGCTCCACCCAGTTCAAGGTTCCCAGCTGCTTTGTTTACCTACTCAAGTCTCAGCAATGGTGGACGCCCTTCCCCCAGCCTCGATGCCACCTTGCAGTTCGATCTCAGACTGCTGTGCTAGCCATGAGTGAGGCTCTGTGGGTGTGGGACCCTCTGAGCCAGGCGCAGGATATAATCTCCTGGTGTGCTGTTTGCTAAGACCATTGGAAAAGCGCAGTATTAGGGTGGGAGTGTCCCGATTTTCCAGGTACCATCTGTCACAGCTTGCCTTGGCTAGGAAAGGGAATTCCCCGATCCCTTGCGCTTCCCAGGTGAGGCGATGCCCCACCCTGCTTCGGCTCACACTCCGTGGGCTGCACCCACTGTCCAACAAGCCCCAGTGAGATGAACCCGGTACCTCAGTTGGAAATGCAGAAGTCACCTGTCTTCTGCATCGCTCACGCTGGGAGCTGTAGAATGGAGCTCTTCCTATCTGGCCATCTAGGAACGTCCCTCCTAATGTTTTTTTAAGAGACAGGATCTTGCCATATTGCCCAGGCTGCATTCAACCCCTGGGCTCAAGTGATCCTCCAGCTTCAGCCTCTCAAGTCACTATAACATTCATGAGTGGTAGCTTCCATTCTTATTTGACTTGGTATCCTTAGCAACTGTCATAGAGCATGACACATTATAACCATGTTTTTAAAAAAGTTTGTTGAGTGAAAAGTCCCCAATTTTTGTTCCAGTCCAGAACTCTGTTCTTCAGATCATTTAATGCCCATGAAATACAAGCGACCATCAGTAGTCTCCCAGCCTCTAGAAGCACGATACACAATCTCAGGGTTAGAATTTAAACTTCTCTTCCATGGAAATCAGAGCTATTTCAGGAATAATAGAAGCATATCAGGACTTAATTGCATTCACTTCTGAATTGCCTATAGCTCTTTCTTCTATAGGATGCAAATCAGGGTGACTCTTATATCTTGATTATATTCAAAGACTCCCAGAGGACCATCATGGTATGCCAGGCTCTTTCTTGTGTTGCTCCTGTCTACCCCTTCATCCAAATCTCCAGCCTTATGACAATAAACTCCTTGTGGTTACCAGAATTATCTCTACTGGTTTTTGATCTTTGTCTTCATGCATTCAGCCTCTTCTACCAGAAATACTTTGACAACTTTTGCCTGGTTAATTTTTTCTCCTTCTACGACTCAGTGGTTGGTTTTTATGTGAACTTGCCAGAAATGATGGTGTATTACTTACAATTGTGGTTACTGGCACTGAAATTGTGCTTAACCTAACAAAATATTTGTTGGATATTCAGAAAGTAGCACAACATGGTGGTTACAGATCCAGGCTATGGGGCTTAAATTCCAGCTTCACTACATACTATCTGTGGCTTTTGACAAGGTAATTTACTTCCCTAAGCCTCATTTTTCCTATCTGTAAAAAGGTGAAATTAACAGAAATGACCTCATAATGTTGTTAGTGTGAACGTAGATAAAGCATGGGAAGCATCTAGCAAGTGCCTGCCACACACACAATAACTGTAGCCATTACTATCCCATTGCTATTATATCATGATTGTCATCATGATTTATTCATTTATTTATTTTTTCTTTTTGTATTTTTCTTTCAGATTTGGGGGTACATGTGTAGGTTTGTTACATGGGTGTATTGGATGATCCTGAGGTTTCAGGTACAATTGAACCTATCACCCAGGTAGTGAGCATGGTACCCAATAGGTAGTTTTCCAACCCTTTCCCCTCTCCCTCTGTTTCCCCTCTTGTAGTCCCCAGTGTCTGTCGTTCTCATCTTTATGTCCATCTGTACCCAAAGTTTAGCTCCCTCATATAAATGAGAACATGTGGTATTTGGTTTGCTGTTTCTGTGTTAGTTTGCTTAAGATAATGACTTCCGGCCAGGTGCAATGGCTCATGCCTGTAATCCTAGCACTTTGGGAGACCGAGGCGGGCAGATCACAAGGTGGAGAGATTGAGACCATCCTGGCCAACATGGTGAAACCCTGTCTCTACTAAAAACACAAAAATTAGCTGGGCATGGTGGCGTGCACAGGTAATCCCAGCTACCCGGGAGGCTAAGGCAGGAGAATTGCTTGAACTTGGGAGGCGGAGGTTGCAGTAAGCTGACATTGTGCCACTGCACTCCAGCCGGGCAACAGATCGAGACTCCATCTCAAAAAAAAAAAAAAAAAAAAAGATAATGACTTCCAGCTGCATCCATGTTGCTGCAGAGGACATTATTTCATTCTTTTATGTGGCTGCATAGTATTCCATGGTGTATATGTACCGTATTTTCTTTATCCAATACACCTTTGACACCATGATATCATTATTAATCACAATATCAAATTAAAATCTGCTAGGAGAGTTACAATGACATTTCATTTCATAATTTTAAATGTATGGGCTTTTTTTCAAACAACGTAGCACAAGGGAATAATTAACTTGGTAAATTTAAAGTTCATTTTGCCATCTGGGCTGGGACCACTCAAAAAGAAAAACTTCTCTTTTTGAGCCAAAGACCAGAAAGAAAATAAGATGGGTTTTTACACCTTGGGCATGACAAAGGAACAGTTTAGCTGCAAATCTATGTTTGATAAAAGAAAAAAAAACTTTGTAGAGTAAGTGGAGAAGTGTTTGTAGCTCATGACCCAAGAGGACCCAATTACTGGGTGTCTGTGAAGGAGACAGAAGTGTCAGAGGGCTGATAGCAAACAAGCTCTCAAAGGCTGCTTCTAAAACCTGCTCACACAGGGCAGAATTCTAACAAGAAGCAGATGATATTCACCACCTGGGACCTGTCAGGGAGCTCCAGAGAGCCGGAGGGCCAGCTCTGGGAGGCTGATGGAGGTCAAGTACTTCTGGAGGGAAGGTGTGGTGAGAGGAAAACTTGGGAGACTGATTCTCCTTGTTTTTCTATTGCTTTGCTGCACCTCCCAGCGAGGCTTAGAAATTGCTCAAGACACACTGATTTCCTGCATGTTCTTACTCTGTGGTGGAAGGCTTCTGGGAGGGAGAGACAAACACTGTGAACAATGAGAAATAGAAAATGAAAGTAAAATAGCACCCGAGCTGACTTCATGCCAGATGAAGCAGAGATCCCTGAAGAGTATATGGGTGCATCAGAGGGTAGGAGAGAGGGGAGAGTGGGTGAAAAATGAGGTGAGGTCTCTTGGCTAAAATGAATTTTAAATTTATTGGTAAATTTCAATTACACAGGCTTTCCCTGAGGTGGGTTACTGGGATCAAAACTCTACTGTCATTCCTAATAGAGTGGAAATTCTTACAACAGTCCACTTCATTTTAGGAGTGCATTAGTCCCTAGGAATGTTTAACTAAAAGAGATAATTATAACAGCACCCAAGGAAAAACACACCCTCTTATCATCTTTTCAACCACAGAATAAACATTTTCCAGACACACTGAAGTGAATTTTCCTAACTCCAGGGCTTAGCACCAGCCATCAGGAGATGCTCACTAAATAATTATTGAATGAATGAATGGTATGGATGATCCTCTATGTGCCAGAGAGCTTTCAAGAATTGAAAAAAAGCAAAGATTAATAAAAGGAAACTTCTGATCAATGTGGTGGCCAAGCAGAAGTAATCAACCTTTCATTCTGCTCCAAATATATAGAAATGCTGACTTAGAGGCCGGGTGCGGTGGCTCACGCCTGTAATCCCAGCACTTTGGGAGGCCGAGGTAGGCGGATCACAAAGTCAGGAGATCGAGACCATCCTGGCTAACACAGTGAAACCCCGCCTCTACTAAAAATACAAAAAAATTAGCCAGGTGTGGTGGTGGGCGCCTGTAGTCCCAGATACTTGGGAGGCTGAGGCAGGAGAATGATGTGAACCCGGGAGGCGGAGCTTGCAGTGAGCTGAGATCTCGCCACTGCACTCCAGCCTGGGTGACAGAGTGAGACTCCATCTCAAAAAAAAAAAAAAAAAAAAAGAAATGCTGACTTAGATAGAACACAAACCTTTTCTTAAACTGTATAGCTGAAATTGAAAGCAGGAAGAAGGAAATATCACAAAGTCCCAGAAATGAACAAGAAACTCAAAGCCACAGTGGTAGAATGATGAATGTTTGTGGGCATATACGAATCACATGTGTACGTAAGGGTGGGGACATGTATCAGTCCTAAGCAGAATCAAACTATGACACAATATCATGGATGATAGCGAGAAATTGACTTTAATTACTCTATATTCCTCTAATTCAGTCGTATAAGAGAGATATTGATTAGTCATAGATTTAGTTAACTTTGTGCATTAGCATTATAAAGGCAAATACCAAAAAAGGGAGGAAGGAATGCAATGTTTAATTCCTAAACCAGTAGAAAGGGGAGAAAAAGGAAATAAAGGAAATGTGGGCCGGGTGCGGTGGCTCATGCCTGTAATCCCAGCACTTTGGGAGGCGGAGGCAGCAGATCACCTGAAGTCAGGAGTTCGAGATGAGCCTGACCAATATGGTGAAACCCCATCTCTACTAAAAATACAAAAATTAGCCAGGCATGGTGGCACCTGCCTATAATTCCAGCTACTCAGGAGGCTGAGGCAGGAGAATTGCTTGAAATCAGGAGGTGGAGGTTGCAGTGAGCTGAGATTGCGCCACTGCACTCCAGCCTAGGTGACAGGGCAAGACTCCGTCTCAAAAAAAAAAAAAAAAAAAAGAGTGCACATGCATGAAAGAGAGGATGTGGGAAGAGGTACGGGAATGAACTCATCCTTTAATCAGGAATCTACTCCCACAATAACAAACCGAATCCTGCAATAACAGCCTTAATCCATCTTGAGGGAAGAGTCCTCAGGACCTAGTCACCTCTTAAATGTCCTACCTCTCAACACTGGAATTGGGAATTAAGTTTCCAACACATGAACTTTGGGGAACACATTCAAATCACAGCAACAGCTAACAGTAGTGCTATTCTATCTGTAAAATCAAACATCAAATTCAAGGATAATAATGACAAGGCTGACAGCCATCAACACTGGAATTGGGAATTAAGTTTCCAACACATGAACTTTGGGGTACACATTCAAACCACAGCAACAGCTAACAGTAGTGCTATTCTATCTGTAAAATCAAACATCAAATTCAAGGATAATAATGACAAGGCTGAGAGCCATCATTCCAATAAAAATTACAATTCCCTGTCCAATATCCAGTTTTTATACCCAGAACTCATTGATATGAGAAGAGACGCTTTTAGAGGAACCCTGCAAAATCATGGTAAATGTATGTGGTAGTGGCTACTTCCTTTTCTCAAAGGGACCTACTGCCTTCTATTGGGTAACTGTATCCTAGGGAAAGTGGAATATCCAAACACTTTAAAGACTGTTGGAAAGAGAATCCAAGTTGATATTGAGGTCAAAGTGTCATCATGATTTTTCTGTCAGAGTGGGGACCTGGGATAGCCAAGTCCAGCCCACAGTCTGTTTACCGTATCTGTGAACTCATCCAGTGGTCATTTCTGCAGACCCCAATTAATAATTGTAATAGACATACTTGGTAGTTGGCACAACCTCCACGTTGAATCTTCAGCCTACAGGATTAGGGGAAAAGTTAAGAAGAAGCCTGTGAAAACAGCTTATCCCCCATACTTGTTTCAAGATAGTTACTTAAAAAAAATTGTCCAATATGAATGGTTGAAATTAGTGCCACCTTTACAGTTTGTTAAAGGATACAGGAATGATGGTCCCCTTCAGTCTCTGTTTAATTCACCAATCTGATTTCTGCAAAAACAAGACATATTATTACAGTGGACTACTGCAAACATAGCCAGGTATCGGACCCAGTGGCAGATGTGGTATGTTTGCTAGAGCAGATTAACATGTCATCAGATATATGGTATGCAGCCATATTTCCGTTGCTCTGGAAAATATATTTTTTTCATCATTAGGAAGAGGAAATGAAAAGAATTTCATTTAAAGTGGACAACTGAATCAATTACATGTTTGTTTCAAGGCTGTGTTAACTCCTCTGCCCTTTGTTTAAATACAGTATGAAGAGGTACAGACCATTTAGACATCCATACAGAATGTCAAATTTGTTCACTATATTGACAACATGCTAATGGAACCAGATGAGCAAAATATAGATGCTAGTTGGAGGATTTGCTAAGAAGCATATTCTCTAGAGAGTTGGAGTTAAACCCTATGAATATTCAGGGCCTGGCACATAAGTAAAATTACGGATGTACGGTGTTTATGGCATGATAAGAATCACCCATCCTCCCCAAATAAAGAACAAATTATCAAAATTTGTATTCTCAGCATGAAGAAGGAAGCAAAATGCCTGGAAGGTTTCTTTGGGTTACAAAGGCAGCATATTCCACATTATGGGAACCATATCTGGGAATACTAATGTGACCTAAACACCAGATGATATGAAAATCTGCCAGATTTTAATAGGGCCCAGCTATGGCTCCTGTCTAGCACTTTGGGCAACTCATGCCAAAGGGTCAGCAGGTAAGGAAATGAATCACTGTCTTGGCAGGAGTAAGTCAGGATGCTGTTACACAATGAGAACATTAGGAATATATTTAGCAGCCAGATAATACACTTAAGTATCTTTTAGTGATTCTATATCACGTTTTGACAATAATTGCACAAATACAGTAACTCTGGTCTGAAAAGGTAATGGTAATGAGGAAGGGAATTAGACTGCACATGGTTGAAGATCTAGTTCACATCACCAGGCAAGTCTCCAAGACCACCAGAGGTGCTAGCTGGGGGTAAGGGAAATTTATAATAAGTGGTAGAGAAGGGAGATAACAAAGATCATTTCTGGACTTGAGATAAGCAAAAGTGATGGGGACTGTAGTTTATCATCACATTTTTTTTTCTTTTCTAAGTTTTTCCACTGGATTGTTAGAAGAGTCACTGCCAGAACCTATATGAGTAAGTGAATCCAGGCACTTAAGGTGTAGTCTGTGTTGAGTACTATAATATGCCTCCAGATTCCTCTTTACTAATTAAGGACATACTCCCCCAGCTTCTAGAAGTGCTGATGAAAGGCAGTCCTTAGCTGTAAACTTCTCCTGAGAGATTGCCTTTACTAAAAACACTGTCTCACCCCAAATCACACTTCTTTCAGAGAAGTCCACATCTAGTGACTGATCGTCCAGAGGGTATAAAGTCCTGGAACCCTTGCCTTAACTGGGCAAACTCTAAAGGACCATCCCAGCTCCAGAGCTCTTCATGGGGTCATCTTAGGTCTCTGTTGAGACTGCATCACAGCTCAACTTCTCCCTCTGCCCAAACGTGTTTTTTTTTTTCCTTTTCTTCTACAGGTTTTGATCCCAGGAGTCCCACCTAATAAACATCTTATATGTTAATCACCATCTTCCTGGTTGCCTCTCAGAGAACTTAAGCTGTATCAAACATTATATACTGATACTATAACTGAAACTATAACTATCATGAATTTATATATATATATATATATAGTCTTACTCTTCTCATGCTGCTAATAAAGACATACCCTAGACTGGGTAATTTATAAAGGAAAGAGGTTTAATTGACTCACACAGTTCTACATGGCTGGGGAGGCCTCACAATCATGGCAGAAGGTGATGGAGGAGCAAAGTCATGTCTTACATGGCAGCAGTCAAGAGAACTTGTGCAAGGGAACTCCCATTTATAAAACCATCAGATCCGTCAGACTTATTCACTACCATGAGAACAGTATGGGGGAAACTCCCCCAATGGTTCAATTGTCTCTCCCTGGCCCCACCTTTGGCATGTGGAGATTTTTACAATTCAAGGTGAGATTTGGGTGGGGACACAGCCAAACCATATCATACATTTATAAATTTATGAAATAAGTGCTGATAGAATTACATGAAGACATTTGTAAATACATAATACTTGTGTAAAAATTTTAACACCTATTTTAGAAACTGATAGATCAAGAAGTCAATGTTAGTAAAGATGCTAAAGATTTGAATAAAATAGCTGTTTTCTCTATGGTAATATAATGTAACACACCGTAATACAACATAACTATATTCTTATGTAAGGAGTAAGGAGCACATATGGTTTTTAAATATGCATGTATCATTTATTAAAAAGTTGGTCACGTTTTAGTTTATAAAAGGTCTAAAAAATGTCCAAATAATTGATATCATACAGAACATTTCATCTTACCACAGTATAAGACACAGTAAAATATAATTAATACAGTTGGGCCTTCACAAACCTATATTAGAAAAATAATGATCTATAACAAAAATTAATTAGTAATCAAAAATTCTCCCTAAAAAGGTACCAAGCCCACATAATTTTATAGAGAAGTTTTTACCACAAATCAGAAGCTCATAATTCCTTTCTGATAAAATCTCTTTCAGCAAATGAATAAAGAGAGTAAACTACCTATTATTTGATATCAAAATTAGGCACAAGAAGTATAAGAAATGAGATATATTGTCCAATCTCACTATAGCATGGAAGAACAAATTATAACATGTTAGCAAACCCAGAATTGGATTTATAGTACATCAGGATAAAACAGATTATCCCAAGTATACAAAGATATGTCAACATTTAAAAGATCTATAAATCTTCATTCAACACATGGAAAAAAAAAGACAAAAACGTGAGCATCTCAACGAATGTAGAAAAATATTTTATAAGGTCAATATTCATTCATAAATTAAGGAAAAGACCAGTACATTAGTACTGGGGAAAAAAAACTTCCTTAACTTTGTAAAGAGCATGTACCCAAACCCACAGAAAATGCCATACTTTATGGTCAGATTTTTAGAAGCATTCACATTAAACTCAAGACAATAAATTATTCACTAAAACCACTTCTATGTAGCAATTACTGGAAGTTTTAACCAATTCAAAAATGCAATAAAAAGAAATAAGTGATATAATTATTTGAAAAAAAGAAGCACAATCGTTATTTGCAGATGGTATCATTGTTTGCATACAAAATGCAAAAAGAATTCATAGACTAACTATTTAGAATTTAAAAAGTTCAGGAAGATTGCCAGAAATAAGATCAACATACAAAAATAATTAGTGAGATTTTATTTAACAATAATTGGAAAATAGAAAATGTTATTTTTTTAAAGATCTCATTCACAATTGCATTCAAATTTACACAGTGCCTAGGGCAAAAATAATCTAACAAATAGTATTTAATACTTTTATGAAGAAAATTACACAACTATACAAAGTCAAAAAGGAGCTTGGTTATGGATATGCAAGTTCAACATCATGAATATATGCTATAAATTATTTCCCACATTGATCTATAAATTCAATGTAATTCCAGTAAAAATCCCAATGAAATTATTTTCCATGGATTTGATGGATTTATTTTATTTATTTATTTATTTAGAGACAGAGTCTCTCTCTCTATCACCCAGGCTAGAGTGCAGGGGCACGATCTCAGCTCACTGCAACCTCTGCCTCCTAGGCTCAAGTAATTCTCGTGCCTCAGCCACCCAAGTAGATGGGATTACAGGCAGGTGCCACCATGCTCAGCTAATTTTTCTATTTTTAAGTAGAGATGGGGTTTCACCACGTTGGCCAGGCTGGCCTCAAGCTCCTGGTCTCAAGTGATCCTCTTGCCTCAGCCTCCCAAAGTGCTGGGATTACAGGTGTGAGCCACCATGCCCAGCCATGATGGACTTATTTTAAAATTCCTGTTTATGAGTAAATGTTCAAGAATAGGCAGGACAGTAAAGAACAAGAACTAAGAGGAGTTATTCTCCTGAATTTCAAGAACTGATTTAAAGCTGTAGTAATTAAAACAGTGTGGTATTTTACAGGGTTAAAAATATGTTAATTAGATAGACTTAAGAGCTCAGGAATAGACCCTGGGGTATATGGGAACTTGATTTATGAGAGAAGTGGCTTCACAAATCAAAATTTATTTAAATAGTTATCTGTATGAGACCAGGTGTGGTGGCTCACGCCTGTAATCCCAGCACTTTGGGAAGCTGATGTGGGCAGATCACTTGAGGCCAGGAGTTCAAGATGAGCCTGGCTAACATGGTAAAACCTCATCTCTATTAAAAATATAAAAATTTTCTGGGTATGGTGGCTCTATCTTGTAGTCCTAGCTGCTTGGAAGGCTGAGACAGGAGAATAACTTGAACCTGGGAGGCAGAGGTTGCAGTGAGCCAAGACTGCACCACTACATTTCAGCCTGAGTGACTGAGCGAGACTCTATCTCAAAAAAACAAAAACAAAAACAAAAACAAAACAAACAAACAAAAAAACCCCCAAAAATCCAAAAAATTTATCTGTATGAAAAGAAAATTAGAGAATTACCTCTATATAAAAACAAAGGTAGATAAAGGCTTAAATTAAAAAAAAAGTTGTAAAAGTTAAAACAGGAGCACAACTTTATGATCCTGTGAAGAAAAATATGTTTACATAGAAAAAAGAACAAATTATAAAGAAAATTGATAAATTTACACTAAAATTTCAAATACATGCATGACAAAAGTTTACAAACCTAAAAGACAAGAAGATTTTTTGTAACATACTTAATAGACAAAGAATCAGTCTGGAATACATAAAGAACACTTTTCCTCCTTGAGGATGATAATAATAGCTAACCTTTATTAAGCAGTTACTATATGCCAGGATCTCTTCTAACAGGTTAATATGTATTAACTCTCTTAACTGCCACAATAATCCTATGAGATACTACTTTTTTTTTTCCATTTTAGAGCTGAAGAAAGTGAGCCATGGTGAGGTTAAGTCACATCGCCAAGTACACATAGCTATAAAGCGGCACATTTATAATGGGAACTCATGATGATTGGCTCCAGAGTGTAACTCCAAAAAAAAGAGAGAGAGAAAAGAAAAAGACAGATCATTCAATTGAACAGAAGGCAAAAGATTTCAGCAGGTTATTCATGGAAGAGAAAGCCAGAACTGCCAATAAATATGAAAATATGCTCAACCTCACTAATCAGGGAAATGCAATTTAAAACCTCAGTGAGGTTTCTCAACCATCAGATGGGCAAATTTTTAAAAGTCTAAGAAATACCAAATGTTGACCAGATTTGACAAAAAAGGGGGATTCATATATCCTGCTGAAGGGAGTATAGATTGGTACACACACTTTGGAAACAAGTTGGCTGCATCTAGTAAAATTGGCACAGCATGTACCTGATGACTCAGAAATTTCACCTTCCAGATATAGTCACATGCAAAGGAAACATGTATAAGGATATTCAATGTGATTTTGAACTATAAATAGAGAACCGGAAAGAGTGTAGGGAGCAAAAAAAATAAATTGCAATGTATTAGTAGGATATAATGCTCTTTAGCAATTAAAATTAATGAGTTAAATTTGTATGCATCAAATTGGATGGATCTCTAAGATTGTACTATTGAATGAAAGAAGTACTATGTAGTCCTTATACATATGTGGAATATTACACCATTTATTTAAGTTATTAGAGCATAAAAAATACTATGTGTTGTTTATGGTACTCAAAGTAGAAATACGTGAGTCTAGGGCATAAACTTACTTAACAATGGTTGCTTCTGGAGAGGGAGGGAAGTGAATAAGACTTCAGAGACATACCAGGATTTAGTCACATATTTAATATTTATTATATAAAGATAATGCACATATGACAATATATTCTGGTGGGAGGTACATGGGTTGATTATTGTCTGTATATTTTACTATACTTTTAATAGTAAAAATAGAATAAAGGAACAAGAAAGATGATTAAGACATAGTCCATACTTACAAAGATCTCATCTCTATTCATTCTGACACAAAGCTCTGTAAGTAAACAGTACACTTTAAACAGTAAAGACACACACAAGAGTAACGCTTCCTGCCTACCAAGCTTGTATTCTGTCCTCCTGGATATCTGCTTTTGCCTGCAGCAGGGAGAAAAATCAGAGCTGAGGCCTGACTCAAAGATTATCTATGGCCCTCATGGAAGAGATGAGGAAACTGATCTACAATGGGAGAACTGGCCTAGGATCAAGGATTATAGAAAGCCAATGAGTCACAGAACTTAGACCAGAACCTAGACCTCAAGACTTGTAAAATAGAAAGTACAAATTGAAGGCCAGCAGGTCAAATTAGGTCCACAGACTGGTTTTGTCTGACTTCTATATAGTTTCTTTTATTTTTTTTAAAGAAATGTGAACATTATTATATACTGTGTACAGTTAGCCACAACCTCTTGAACTCCCTATTTTCTCATGTGAACACTTTACTTATTCATGTTATCCTTAAGTATATTTAAATATATTTGTGTTTGTGACCTTCATCATGGAATCTTGGACATGGAAGTAACCTTAGGGAAAAAAGGTGACATGTTCTCAAAGTAGTAATTGCCTCGACGACATCCCTGACAGTTGGAACATGCATGCCTCTGCTTGAACACTTCAGCTATAGGATGCTTACCAACTTTCAACATAGCCCAGAAAATCTTTGGACAGCTCTGACTGTTAGAAAGTTCTGCCTTTTATGGAGTCAAAGTACGTTTGACTTCCTTCTCACTCATTATTCTTAGTCCGGCCCTCTAAAGGTGCCTGAAATAAATCTAATTGCTCTTCTGAAAATATTTGAAGACAGCAACGTTGTTGAACTAAATCATTTCTTCTTCAGGATAAACATCTTGCTGCTTCTCACTCTTCTAGAGTTACTGGTTTTCAAACTCTTAGCGATGCATTCCAACTCCTTGCTACCTGAAGGTGAGGGAGAAAGATTGTTTATGGATGCATTAGTCTGTTTTCACACTGCTACAAAGGGCTTCCCTAAGACTGGGTCGTTTATAAAGGAAAGAAGCTTGACTCACAGTTCGGCATGGTTGGGAAGGCCTCAGGAAACTTACAGTCATGGCAGAAGGGGAAGCAGGCACCTGCTTCACAAGGCAGCAGGAAAGAACAAAGGAGAAACTTCCAAACCCTTATAAAATTATCACATCTTGTACGAATTCACTGACTATCATGAGAACAGCATGGGGGAACCTGCCCCCATTATCCAGTCACCTCCCTCCCTCAACATATGGGGATTACAGGTCCCTCCCTCGACACACGGGAATTATCATTTGACATGAGATTTGTTTGGGAACACAGAGCCAAACCGTATCAATGGGTATCACAGTCAACATTCTTCATCCACTGCTTTACCATTCATCTATTTACATTCAGAAGAATGTATGGCTTCCTTCCTCCCTACTTCTCCAGCCCTTTTTCCCACTTACTTCACTTCATTTTCTTTTCTCCTTTATTCTCTTTGCCTTCAACCTGTGCCATATTCACGCGTTGTTTTCACTCCAGCAATGATGAACAATATTTGAAGTTCTCTGAACAAAGCATGCTATGTAAAATAGTATCACTATATCACTTCATATCCTGCTTTCTCCACATGAAATATCTCACTAATGATTTCCCCCTGGAACCTTCCATTTATTCTTCAAAACCCAGCTTCAATGTCACTGTCTACTGAGGCTTTCCTATGCCTTCAGCCATCTCTTTCTCTTCTTTTACACTCCAGTCAAAGTTAATCCCTTCCTCCTGCATGCTGACTTCCATGTTATGCAAATTTCTATTCTTGCACATCTCCCACTGGATTACAATTATTTGTTTGCATTTCTATTTCCCTTTTTTGTATTATAATGTATTGGAGGGAAGGGCTTTTGTTAATCCTTTTTGTAATTCCAACATTAAGCCCAGTACTGGCAATAATAGGTGCTTAATAAAATGCTTCCTGAGTTAACTGCAATTCTGATATCACGGGATATATCGCCTTAAGGCCATTTACAATTTGCCTTAAGGCCAGCTTGAGTGTTCTCCATTATCCAATTAGAATTGAGGTGCCCAAGAACAGGATTCATGTTTTGTTTTCCTTGCCTTCCTAGTACCACATACAACTCCCATCATCACTTAGATGACTGTTAAAGGAACAAAGATGATTCACAGGCTTGTGGTGTGTTGCAAGCATAAGAAATACAGATTTTTTTTAGCTCTCCATTGTAAAGAAGATTAAAAATGTATATACACATAAAGATTAAATTTGTATGCATATGCATATATGTACACAAATATTTGTATACAGCTATCACTATATATATGTGTAAATAAAATAGTGTTGCCTTTGCACATTCCAGCATATATACATCTTCTGAATTGCAAAGTGCACTCCAGTTTATTTGAAGTGCGGCAGAATATGTCTAACCTCCTAGGCAAAGTTTCTTGTTAATTTCCTTTGCCTGCATGAATGTATGATTTATTTAATGAAACTGCCATGCAGCAAATAAAACCTTTGTTCTACCTAGCAGACTAGTTCCCCAACATCACAGAATCCATAGCCCCAGTTACAGAAGTTTACATAGGAGCAGTGGTCCAACTCAGAATCCCAAGTACAAAAGTCTCCTAGCCCATTCTCACTAGATGCAGTCCAGTGTCTAATTAGCCCAGGGTAAAGGGAATGAGAAAAAAAATTTAAACAATACAAAACAAAACCGTAGTCCTAACTGCTTGTGGCAGTTGTGTTTTTTTTCATTTTTGTTTCTCTCCTTTGTCCTCAATTCCTATCACTTCACAGGGATGTGTTCAGAAACTAATGTGATTAACTGGATCTCTTTCTTTCTTCTCTTCCTTTATCCCTCTCACCCTTTAAAAGAAAACTTATATTTTTATTGTTCAATCAGTGAATACCAAAGAGTTAGTGATCTGTTTCAAAATTGTTTTTATAGAAAAAGACCTTGAGTCATTTCAGTCTGAACCTCTGGGAATGTATCCAAGAGAGATGAGAAATGTATCATACCTGATTTTCACTCTGCTCCTTTGCAATCCCAACCCAAATTAAAGAAACCATAAGATAAACTGCAAAGTGAGGAATCTATACATTATTAAATATCAACAAAGAACATTCTTTTGAAGCTGCAAATATGTATCACCCTAAAGCAAGGCCTATTTCTGACCAGCAGCAGGCAGATTTGTTTGATAAGTTCTAATAATATTTTAGCTTTTATTCCCAGTTCCCCTAAGGCTTAACATTGTAGAAGATGTTCTTTGTTGTGAGGTTTACTCTTAGCACATGTAACATCTGGGTTCATGATTGCACATGCTTTTTTGTTTGTTTAACAATATGCATTCATTCATACAATCAACATTTATTGAACCCTTACTTTAAGAATACAAACATAGATGGTATAGTTTCTATCTTGGTAGTATTCTAGTTAACTAGTGCTTTATAATGAACCTCCTTAAAGTGCCATGCTTTATACATTTTGCTCACAGATTCTGTGGATCAGGAATTCAGAGAGGGTATGGTGAGGATAGTGTGGCTCTCCTTTACAATGTCTGGCCTCAGCTGACAAAACTCAAGGCTGGGGGTGACCAGATGGCTGAGAGCTAACACCATGTGAAGGTATAATTGGCAGTCATATTTCTGGCAGTAGATTAACTCAGTGGGCTGGGACATCAGCTGGGGCTGTTTGTCAGCATTCATGTGGCCTCTTATGTGCTTGGGCTTCCTCGCTGCATGGTGGCCATGCAGTAGTCGAACTTCCTATGTGATTCCAAAGGAGGATGTCCTAACTGTAAGAAAGTTGTATAATCTTTTCTGACTTTTTCTTAGAAGTCATACAGAATCACTCCACTGCGTTGTATTGGTTACATGCAAGTCACAAGCCCAGCTAGAGTCCAAGGAAGAGGACATAGATCCTATCTCTTAATGGAAGGTGTGTCAGGTCACACTGTAGAATAATAAGAGATACTTTCATGGTCATTGTTGGAAAATGCAACCAGCCACAAGTAGTTTATAGTTTAGTAGGAAAGTTAGACATGTAAATGGATCAATTCAAGAAAGGGTTATAGTGCTATTTAAAAAAAAAAGGACTTGTTGAGTACAGCAAAATACCTGGTCAATCATATCGGGAGAAAATAAGGTCAGAAAATGGTTAAAGGAGGCAGTGCCTCAAAGTTGGTAAGTGATAGTGGTACACCTCTTGGTGAAAGTTGTTGAATATTGGGTTTTTAAGGAGTACCTTACATAAAACACCCTTCTATCAGTAACACATATACAGTATTTAAAAGATATCTTATGTTAAAGCAAAAAAATAACACCCCAAACCCAGAAAGTCACTGTATTTTACAATGCCTTTCAAAATCCCTTTGCTAGTTGGGGAATGAGCTTGAGATAAGGTGAGAACACCTGAAAAATGGTGACCTCCCTGGGGCTGGAATGAGCAAAGGGCAGGATTAGAAATTACATTGTAATTTTTGCCAGGCCACACCACCACAACAACCCTTGACCTGCATAGGAGCTCCTGAAGCTGTGCTGGGCCCGCAGGAGAATGCTGCTCAGACAGGACTTACCTGTCCTCTCTCAGGCACATCTCTAGTCTCACAGAGCAGATGTGTCCCAAGGATCACCCAACCCAAGGTGCTATAAGCTTGATGCGTTGTCTGTTCTCCCCAGGTCTTGGGACTTGATAAAATGATGGATTTGTTGAGGCTTTATGGGTTGTTTCCCCAGGGATTCAAGCATTTTCTGACTTTATTTAAGGCTAAGGTCAATCTTTGCAGCTTTGAAGTAGCACAAAGGCAATAAGAGAGTGTCCAATGTTCCTGGAGAGAGAGAGGCAGAGAATGTGTGCATGAACATCCCCCAAAACAAACTGGAAAACCTTTTCCATGTTTTATTTATTTTGTGTTATTAAAGGAGCATCACTGTGTCATCCGTGCTGAGCCAGAGCTTCTAATTCAGTGGAAATGAAATTCCAACCCAGTGTGTGCTTAACTTCCCCAGCACAGTAAATCCATTTCTCTTTTTGTCTCTGTCTCATCTCCCCATTTGTAGTGAAGAGATGTGCAGTACAGCGATGAAGTCTGTCAGTGGGAAACCACTCTGGCAATTTCGGAGTGATGTCTGAAGAAATGAATTGAGCAGGCTTGCCTGGGGTGGAGACACAAGAAAGACCATGCTTTTATAGTCACTGCTGGGTTTGTGATTTGTTGTATGCTGCCTATCTATGCAGATTCTTTTCTGTTCCAACACATGAAGAAAAACATGCCCAGTCAGATGCTCCCGGCTTATCACTCCATATCAACCCAGAAGCAACACAGGTTTTCAATTTCTCCATTTGCAAGTGCAATTGAAAATTGGCAGAGGTTGCTATGTAGGGATAAAATGAACAGTGGTGCAGTTTGGCCTCTACAGATAGAGATGGCATCCATGAGGGTGTGGGGCGGGAGTGGGATAAAGGATCTGGGAATCATCTCACCCATATTTGATTGCTGGAAGCTCTGGTAAGCCATATTATGGTATTCCTTTCCATACTTAGGCTAGCTCTCTTTTGCTTCTGAGCATTTGCCCATGTTATCTGCCTCTACTTAGAACTCTCTCTAGTCCCCCCATTATATCCTGTCTTCTTCCATGCTCCTGTTTCATCTTTCTTTCTTACTTTTTAGAGATAGGGTCTCATCCTGTCACCCAGTCTGAGTGCAGTGGCATGATCATGGCTCACTGAAGCCTCAAACTCCTGGACTCAAGCCTTCCACCTCAGCCTCCCTAGTAGCTGGGACTACAGGCATGTGCCACCACACCTGGCTAGTTTTATTTATTATGTTGTATGTATGTATGTATATATGTTTTTAGAGATGGGGTCTTGCTATGTTGCTCAGGCTGGTCTCAAACTCCTGGGCTCAAGGGTTTCTCTCACCTCAGCTTCCTGAGTAGGTAAAATTACAGGTGTAAGCCACCACACCCTGCTTTCCTCTTCATCTTTCCAACTTTAGCTTGCCCAGTTTCCATTTTGATGTCACCTCTAACTGAATGCCTTCCTTTCCCTTTTAATACCTGATTTGGCCCCTCCCTCACTGTGCTTCCTTAGTCCCTGAACTTATTTTCAACACAAACTTCTCATGTGGTATTATAATTTCCTTTTTTTCTTATTTGATTCCCTCACTATATTGTAAGGTATGTGAGAGCAGGAAACCTATTTTTCTCTGCTGTTCTGTTTCTATGCACCTACTACAATACCTACCACATTGCAGATGCTCAAAAATTATGAATTAATAAGGTAAGAAAATATAAGTTAAATCCTTTGTCCCGCTCCTGCTCCCCCACTTCACAGATACTATCTCTATCCATAAAGGCCAGTTTGTACCACTGTTCATTTTATCCCCACGGAAGCCTCTGTCAACTTTCAATTGCACTTACAAATAGAGACATTGAAACGTTATATATAAATTGAAGTAACAGGTAAATATGTGATTAGAGTTCAAATGGGTCAGTCAAATAATGAAAAGGGAATAAGGTTTTATACCAACCAGATTTGAAAACAGAAAATATAATGCATATTAGTCAGCTCAGGCTGCTGTAATAAAATGCCATAGACCAGGTGGCTTAACAACAGATATTTGTTTATCACAGTTCTGGAGTCTTGGAAGTCCAAGATCATGGTGGCAGCAGATTCTCTTTCTGGTGAGGGCTGTCTTGCTGGCTTGCAGATGGCTCTCTGCTCATTGTATCTTCACATGTTGGAGACAGAGAAGCAAGCTGTTTGGAGTCTTTTATTTTTATTTTTTTTTATTTTTAGAAGTAAGGGCACTAATCCCACTATAGGGACCCAATCCTCATGACCTCATCGAAACCTAATTACCTCTCAAAGGCCTCATTTCCAAATACTATCACATTGGGGTTTAGGGCTTCCAAATAGGAATTCTGCACAGTAACAGTAACAGTGAGATCTTGGTGAAAGTTTTACATACACTCAGAAGACAGCAATATTATAATAGTAGGATATTTTTAGAAAGAAATACATCAGTTGGAATCAAAAACTCTGTAATATATGAAATTGACTCTATAATCATACTTCTGGCAATATAACCTAAGAAAATAGTCTTAAAGAAGGAAAAAGCTGTGGACATGAAGAGTCTTCATTTTAGCATTGTTTTCAATACTGAGAAATTGGAAACAATTTGAACAGTATAGGAATGGTTAAATAGATGACAATATCATGCACTATAATACTATATTATGCAGCCATTAAAATCATAGATTTGAGGCTTATTTTGTAACACAGAAAATATTTATTGTGTAATTTTAGGTTAAACAATCTAATTGTACCTATACTATGGTTTAAATGATATAAAATTATGTTTTTGAATGCACAAGTTCCTAATAGGAATAAATGGAAATAGCTGTACTTACTGGCGTGGTTGGATTTAGTGCAATTTTAGCATTCTTTTAGCTTTTTTAGTGCTATAATGCAAGACTTTAAAATGATATTTTAAAAGAAAGATACTGAAGAAGCTACTGAGAACTGAGTCATAAGGCTTATGTATTCTTCTTTCAAAACATCTTCCTGGGATTTGTTTCAGACAATCTTGGCTAATGGGTACAGAAATCTCCTTTCACTCCTCTCAACATGGAAACCTCAAGATTAAATGAGAAAGATCTAGTATATGGGAGTTTGAATGATTTTTTTCTTCAGTTTTTACCTTCTGATGAGGCCACCTACATGTTGGGAGTGTATCTTCCCATGGTCAAACAATTGTTTGTCCAAATACAAGAATCTGTGAATTTACAAAGGCGATTATTACATCACCAACTATGGATTGGCTACAGAGCCCCATTTTATTGCTTCCTATTTGTTCACATAGGTATTTTTGAGCACAAACCTGCACTTTTTCTAAACCCTCACTCAAGAAAAGAATATATCAGAGACATTTTTATCTACATTCATTTGAATGTAGGATGATCTGTCTGACCAGGAGCATGTGAGGTAACTTGGGATGGTGGAAAGATGGAGTCTTTGTGGTAGACAACCTAAGTTTATTTATAGGACCATGGCCAAGTTAGGCAGTCTTTCTGGGTCTTGATCTCAGCTGAAAAATTTGGAGGCAAATCACTACCTTATGTGATTCTTATAAATGAGATAATCTGCATAACACACTCAGTTTAATATCTGCCATACAGAATCCTATTCTTCAGTTTAACAGACCTTGAACGCCTACCATATTCCGGCTAACTAGGACATGTAGCCAATCGAGCCAGCTTAACCCTTCACACAGACTGCTCTGTGCTCATGAAAAAGTCAGGATCACTTTTATGGCTAAATTGCAGTCACACGGTTTCTGAATCCAA
Source organism: Homo sapiens (assembly GCF_000001405.40). Lineage (NCBI taxonomy): Eukaryota > Metazoa > Chordata > Mammalia > Primates > Hominidae > Homo > Homo sapiens. The sequence goes on along the minus strand of NC_000001.11, from coordinate 208,971,840 downwards.
TACTGAGAGACTGGGACCCCTTAGGGGACTATTGCCTACAGTGGGTGACTGTATGACCTATCAGAGATTAGAGATTCAGATACTGTCTTCCTTAACCCAGTGAGAAATTCACAGGAGAGAGTGCTGCACCCTGTAAGTGGGGCAACAGCAGCATTTACGGAGGCAAAATGTGCAGTTAACAAAATATAGACAATTAAACCCATGTCTCATTGACCTAGCTTTGTCTGCATTCTGGGACTGTTCTCTTTGTAGCAGTGACTTTAGTTCTGGTCAGAAGTGCTTTCATCAACATTAAACTACGAAAAGAATAGTTTTTTTCTCTAACTCTTTTCTCACTGTTTGCATAATAAAGGTATTTTTTTGATCGGCAAGTGATCTTATGAAAGAATGTAATAGGAGATCAAGGAAGTCTAATTTTAGTCTCTCTCCCACGGAGACTCTGTGATTTGGGGACATATAGCTGAAGTTTTCTGTTTTCCAGTCTTCATGTTTTAAACTGTTTTAATAATTCCACAAGATTCCTATCCACAAATAATTCCACAAGGAAGAAAGGAGAACACTGCAGGAAGCCTGGTGAGCTCGGAGGAAGAAGAATGCTATGGAATCTGTAGTCCCGCAGATCTGCGCACGAGGGTGGTCTGCACATTTTTGCTGATCTCTGACCTGGACTACATCCATGCACTCTAAACATATTTACCTCATTAAACAAAGTTTGGTTTTTGGCCATCACTTCAAATTCAGCACAATCATTTTCCAGGCCTCTACCCTCGCCACAAAAAAAGTCACAATCAGTTCCTTCTCCAGTATCCTATCTACTGAGGACACTTAAACCCACAAAGTCATTGTCTACTCATTTTGCTTCCTGATCGCTACCTTCCTACAGCATCTGACATCATTTTCTGAAATGTATGTGGCCTCTTTTCCCCTTCTACTGTTTTTACCCTCCTGGAGGTCATATCAGTTCTCCCCAGGAATTCTGTCAGAGACCCTACAGTCTGCATTTTCCTCTCTTCGACCCACAGCAGCATACACTTCCTTAATGCTTATTTTGTCCTGATTGTCTTCTGATAGTAAAAACTCTGCTCACTTTTCACTTTGTGTGTGTGTGTGTGTGAGGGAGTTTTGCTCTTGTCACCCAGGCTACAACGCAGTGGCACGATCTTGGCTCATTGCAACCTCTGCCTCCTGGGTTCAAGCAATTCTCCTGCCTCAGCTTCCCGAGTAGCTGGGATTACAGGTGCCCGCCACCACGCCCAGTTAATTTTTGTATTTTTAGTAGAGACAGGGTTTTGCCATGTTGGCCAGGCTGGCCTTGAACTCCTGACCTCAGGTGATCTGCCCTCCTCAGCCTCCCAAAGTGCTGGGATTACAGGTGTGAGCCACCGCACCTGGCCACTTTCTATTTCCTCTTGCATCAAGTCTCGTTTTCTCTCCCTGACTCCTAAGAACCTCTGCAGCTCCTTCACCCCAGGCTTTTCCCAATCCAGCCGCACCCTGCTCCCCAGCTACTGCAGTACCACTTCTCTTTTCTGAACAATTTTCTACCTCTCTCCCTCATAACTTTTTGGTCTGGTCCAATACAGTGTCCCAGAACTGCCTCTCAGGACTGAGCTGCTTTCTTTGCCACCATTTTCCTTTCATGCTGCTGGTTCTGGGGACTCAGGTGGCGTTTTTTTCATCTTTTAGGAGCAACACCCTCTCTCCGGGAAGTAAAAAGTTAGACAGTGTTTTCAGAGGCTTGCTCTCTGATCCATCACTTCCCTGTCTGTGATTATTTCTTTGTTATGATTTCTGAAAGCACTTTGTGCAAACCACCCTCTTTGGTTGTGTAGATAGAGTCATAAAATCAACTCTCATGACAACTTGGAAAAATTAATCTTCTTTGTTTCATCTATAACTCCTGCAATTTTCCTCTCTAGCCTCCAACTTGCAGAATAGGAAGAAAAAAATTAATTCTTTTCAGTCTAAGGTGGTCTAGAAAAGCAACAGCACCAGGATTACAGCTCCTTGACCAAGCTTCCCACCCTGTTAGTATAGCTGGGATGCTGATTGTTGCAGGGGCAATTTAAGGAAAACAGGGACTAGAGGCAGAGGGTCCTGCTGCTCCATGTATATGCCCCATCCTCATGATCTGATGTGTCTGTGCATTCCAAGCCTAAGTTCAGAGAGTGGAAACACCAAGGTGCCCATGGTCACCCTGCTCACCTCCTCCCTCCCCCTTCTCTTTGCTATCCCTTTGCCATTCAATGGCCTCATGTGGGAAACTTTCCCCCTTTTTGGACACTTATACCTTTTATGGATGTTCAGCATCTTTGAACAGCATTGCTTCTTTGTTTCCCTGCTCACCCCCCTCTACATTTCCCACCTTCTGTCCTCAAAAGTAGAAGCCAGAACTTGGTTTTCTAGTCTTCCTTATGGCCTGTGACCTAGACTCAGTTATTAGAGGCACCATCAGTGTGAAACCTGGAATTAGAAGACAGGTGTGGAGAAGGAGGTGCTGTCTGCCATGGTTTCCCGGTGAATATGGGCGACAGAGCAGAGAGCTACTGAGTCACAGAGGTCCTGGTGTGCTTGCTGGCTCTTCTGCTCCATGGCAGCAGAATCACTCTTAATGCGCATTCTGGTGGTATGATTTACAAGTTGTTCCTGGAGATGCTGCTTCTGAGCCTGATTCTCTGGCTTGTCGGACAATTTCATAAACTATCTAATATTCTTAAATACTTCTGCTCCAAGTGGCCAGAGCATTTTCACTCTAAATACTAATATAATACCCTTTCATCATCACACACGCACTGACTTTTTTGCCTGGACCACTGTTATATAAAACATACGGGCCTATTTTGATCCTTGATATATGCTAACTGGAAGTTTACAAATATCTGTTTTTCAAGTTTAGTCTTGCCAGGGAGTTAGGTTCCCATTATGCTATGTAAATGTATAATGTAAATGTATCATTACTCCAGAGTGGTTTGGAGGTAGAAGGTTGCAAGGGAAAAGTATTTGAGAATAATATTAAAATGCATCAATTTAATATTTAAAAGCACATGACCCCATTAAATATGCTTTCTGGGAAGATTATGCTTATCTTTTTCCCCAGGGAGACCCCATTTCTCTGGGAATTTTCTGAAAAATTCAGTGGCATGGGTAATTCACATCCCAGAGTCCAAGGATCATTTGCATGTTTGAGGAATGCCAGACTGGGTGAAAGCCCTTCTTCCTTTGGGACATTTCGTTGCAAGTGTATCCCTGCTCTATGTTCTTCCTTGTTGCTGCACTTTTGCTTCTGCTGGTCCTCTCCCTAGAAAGTCCTAGCCACACCCAGGATGATGCTTCCCAAACCACTCGCTCTTCACAGTGCAGTTTCTCTTGATGACTCTGATTCCCAATGAATTCCCTCCCCTGTACACTGGTTTAGCATTTAGAATAGGTGTCACACAGTTTAGCACTTAATCATTGCAATATGTATCACACTTTGGCAGAAATAAACCTTAAGAGAGAGTATTCTAAGAAATGTAGTTTCTCCAGTTTCCCCCAACTAGAATTCAGAATCTTGATTATTATAGATAAAAAGAGTCAGTTCAGCCTAGTGTCGTATATTATAATAAAATAGCATAAGGGAGTTTGTTTCTTCTTAGAACTCTAGATTTGTGTATTTCCTTTGGGATATCTAATAGGCATCTTGACACAATATGTCCAAAACTGAAATACTTTTTCCCCCAAACCTGCTCGTTATGTGATCTTCCCTCTCCATAAATGGCAACATAGGCCTTCTTAGTAGTTCTGGCTAAAAGCCTTGGATTTGGCCAGGTGTGGTGGCTCATGTCTGTAATCCAAGCATTTTGGGAGGTTGGAGCAGGTGGATTACTTGAACTCAGGAATTTGAGGTTGCAGTGAGCTATAATTGCACCACTGCACTCCAACTTGGGTGACAGAGTAAGACCCTGTCTCAAAATAAATAAATAAAAGCCTTGGACTTATCCTTTCTTCCTCTCTTTCTCTCCCAAACATATTTAATCCACTTGTAAATTTCATAGGCTCAACCTTTAACTGTATCTAAAGTACAGTCACTTCTTCCCAGCTTCGGAGCTACCATCATCTCTCTTCCAGATTATTGCAGTTGCCTCCTATGAGAATAGTCCTGGTACATCTGGCACTCCCAATTCTGCTCCGGCCCCCTGCCTTAAGCCTCAGCACATTCTCCACACAATCCTCGAAATAAAACTTTCAGACTTTATGCCACGTCATGAAACTCCTCTCTTCAAAAGCGTCTATTGGTTTCCCATGTCACTCAGAGTGAAAGCAAAAGTTCCTCCAATAGCTGAGAAGATCTTGTATGATGAAGCTCATGGCTACCTTCCTGACCTCATCTCTCACTCTCCCCCAGCTCAGTGTTCCAACCATGTCAGCATCTCTGCTGCTCCTCAACTAAAGAAAACCTGATGATACTTCAGAGTGTTTAATCTTTGCTTGTTCTTTTATTTGGAATGCTTCCTATCCACATTTCCAAATAACCACTTCTTTCCTTCCTTTGGGTTTTGCTCTAATGTTACTATTTTAGTGAGACCTTCTAAAACTACCTATTTAACCAGAAGCCTATTTACCTTTCACCGGTCTTCTGTCTTCTAATTTTCTCCATAGCACTTCTTACTGTCTGCTGTACTATAGAAATGCTAGGTTATTTATTTTTTGTCTGTCACCTCCCGTTAGAATGTAAGCTCCATGACAGCAGAGATGAAGATAGAGCCTGGGGAACAATAGGAACTGAATTAATAGTTTTTAAATGAATGAATTCATAAATAAATGAAAGGATAGGGCTAAGTACTATTTGAGAATAGATTAACCTGTATGTTTCTATAAGAAAGAAATCATGGAATTTTCTACATAGTTAACCTTGACATAAATTTTTAAGGAATCTATAAAAGCTAAAGTGTGTAATTTTAATAACAACTTCTAGTCTCTCTGCAGTAAGCATATTAACATAAGAATCTTTCTTTTCTTTTTTTTTTTTTTTTTTTTTTTTGAAACAGAATGCTTTGTCACCCAAGCTGGAATGCAATGGTGTGATCTCGGCTCACTGCAACCTCCACCTCTCGGGTTCAAGCAATTCTCCTGCCTCAGCCTCCTGAGTAGCTGGGATTATAAGCACCCGCCATCATGCCCAGCTAATTTTTGTATTTTTGTAGAGATGGGATTTCACCATGTTGGCCAGGCTGATCTTGAACTCCTGACCTCAGGTGATCCACCCACCTTGGCCTCCCAAAGTGCTGGGATTACAGGCATGAGCCACTGCGTCCGGCCTAACTTAAGAATCTTTCACTATTGTGGCCAAGAGAAAAGTCTTGGATTTGGATAAACTGGATGCTTCTTTTTTCCTGTCTTGGGTATGTGTGTCTATTTTTAAAATATCTTTCTCTCTGTGTGTGTCCCAATGAGAATAGTCCTGGTACATCTGGGATTGTGATGACTGATGCCTTCTTTGAGGACCTGATTACAAAGTTTTGTTATGTTGGTTTGCATAGTTGGTTTACATAAAATTTTATGGAAGCTTTATATTTCCTCAGCAACTTTGCATAGCACTTGCTGCCTGTTTCATATATTCCCTTTGGAATGTGTCCTCTTTCTCATTCTCCATGTCTGTGTCTCCCCCTCTGTCATCTGCTTACATTTTTATCTACACACTGTGGCTCCTGCCAGACCTTCAGTACTCTCTCCCTACTGCATTCTCTGCATTTTCTTTGATACTTTACAAGGAAGGTAAAAGTTTTACTTTGCTTCCTTTAGTGAGAAGGGTCATTTGCTTGTTAATATCCAAGGTGAAAGAAGATTCTCCTATGAAGCCTCATCAAACATCTTCCTGTCTGCCAAAGATGTAGGCTATTGCTGTGATCTAAGCTTGACCCCAGTCCTGTGGGCTAAAAGATATTAATACATAGTTTGATGGTAATCTTGTTACCCAACTAATTATAGGTTCCTTAAGGACTTGGGAGCAAATATCTGTTTTCTCATAGCACTTAGTATAGTTGGGTACATCATCAGTTCCTAATATGTACTTGTTTAACTTATTCTTTCTTTTGGTCAGGTCTTTTTTCATTTAACAAGTATGTGTGGGCCCACCATATACCAGACATTCTTCTATTACTGGGGATATAGCACTTAAAAAACAGACTTGAATCTCTGCTGTCATAGAGTTTTTCACTCCAGGGGAGGGAGGCAGACAATGAACAAATAAGTGAATATGCAATACATCAAATAGTGATCAGTGCTAGGAAGAAAACTGAATTGAGTCACAGAAATAGGGAGTACTTGGAAAGGGAGAATTGAAAGGCCATATATGGCAAACCCACAGCTAACATCATAGTGAATGGGGAAAAGCTGAAAGTCTTTCCTGTAAGAACTGGAACAAGACAAGAATACCCACTCTCACCACTCTTATTCAACACAGTACTGGAAGTCCCAGCCAGAGCATTTAGGCAAGAGAAAGAAATAAAAGGCACCAAAATTGGAAAAAAGGAAGTAAAATTGTCCTTCCTTTCAGACAGCCTTATCTTATATAGAGAAAAACTTAAAGAATCCACCAACAAACTCTCAAAACTGATAAGCAAATTCAGTAAGGTTGCAAAACACAAAATCAACATATAAAAATCAGTACTGTTTCTATACACCAATAACAAACTAGCTGAGATGAAAATCAGGAAAACAATCCCATTTACAATAGCTACAAAAAAATTAAAATATGAATAAATTTAATCAAGAAGGTTACACCAACAACTACAAAAAGTTGATTAAAGAGGCCAGGTGCCGTGGCTGACACCTGTAATCCCAGCACTTTGGGAGGCCAAGGTGGGTGGATCATGAGGTCAGGAGATCGAGACCATCCTGGCTACCACAGTGAAACCCTGTTTCTACTAAAAAATACAAAAAAATTAGCCGGGCGTGGTGGCGAGTGCCTGTAGTCCCAGCTACTCAGGAGGCTGAGGCAGGAGAATGGTGTGAACCTGGGAGGCAGAGCTTGCGGTGAGCCGAGATCACACCACTGTACTCTAGCCTGGGCAACAGAGTGAGACTCCATCTCAAAAAAAAAAAAAATTGATTAAAGAAATTAAAGAGAGGGCCAGGTGCAGTGGCTCATGCCTGTAATCCCAGCACTTTGGGAGGCCAAGGTGGGCAGATCACGAGGTCAGGAGATCAAGACCATCTGGCTAACATGGTGAAAACCCACCTCTACTAAAAATACAAAAAAAAAAAAAAAATTAGTGGGGCGTGGTGGCACGTGCCTGTTGGGAGGCTGAAGCAGAATTGCTTGAACCTGGGAGGCGGAGGTTTCAGTGAACTGAGATTATGCCACTGCACTCCAGCCTGGGTGACAGAGCGAGACTCCGTCTCAAAGAAAAAAGAAAGAAAGAAAGAAAGAAAGAAAGAAAGAGAGAAAGAAAGAAAGAAAGAAAGAGAGAAAGAAAGAAAGAAATTAAAGAGGACCCAAGCAAATAAAAAGACATCCCATGCTCATGGATTGAAAGGATTAATATCATTTACTATCATTAAAATGACCATACAATCCACAGGTAATCTATATTTCAATGCAATCCCTATCACAATACCAATGACATTCTTCACAGACATAGCAAAAACAATCCTAAAATTTATATGTAACCACAAAAGACCACGAATAGCCAAAGGAATACTGAACAAAAACAAAGCTGGAGGCTTCATACTACCTGACTTTAAAATATACTACAAAGTGATAGTAGGCCAGGCATGGTGGCTCATGCCTATAATCCTGGCATTTTGGGAGGCCAAGGCAGGAAGATCACTTGAGACCAGTTGGACAACATAGCAAGACCCATCTCTACAAAAAAATAAAAAATTAGCTGGGTGTCATGATGTGTGCCTATAGTCTCAGCTACTGAGGAGTCTGAGGCTGGAGGATTACTTGAGGCCAGGAGTTTGAGGCTGCAGTGCACTATGCTTGTGCTATTCACTCTAGCCTGGATGACACATTGAGACCCTGTCTCAAAAACCAAATGAACAAACAAAAAACTTCCAAAAGCAATAGTAATCAGAATAGGGTGGTATTGAGACACATAGACCAATAGAACAGAATAGAGAACCCAGAAATAAATCAATGTATTTATAGCCAACGGATCTTTGACAAAGGAGCCAAAAACATATTTTGGTAAAAAGACACCCTCTTCAAGAAACAGTGCTGGAAAAACTGGATATCTACATGCAGAAGAATAAAACTAGATCCCTAATCTCACCGTATACAAAAATCAACTCAAAATAGATTAAAGACAAACGTAAGATCTGAAACTATAAAATTACTAGATGGAAACAGGGGGAATGCTTCAGGAAATGGGTCTAGGCAAAGATTTTATGGCTAAGACTTTAAAAGCAAGGCAACAAAACCAAAAATAGACACATCGGACCATATTAAACCAAAAAAGCTTCTGTACAGCAAACAAAACAATCATTAAAGGGAAGAGAAAAGCTGGAGAATGGAAGAAAATATTTGCAAACTATTCATCTGACAAGGAACTAATATCCAGAATATACATGGAACTCATACAACCCAATAGTGAAAAACCAAATAATCTCATTAAAAGTGGGCAAAGAATCTGAACAGACATTTCCCAAAAGAAGACATAAAAATGGCCAACAGATATGTGAAAAAATGCTCAACATCACTAATCATCAGGGAAATGCAAATCAAAACCACAATGAGATACTATCTTATCCTAGTTAAAATGGCTAATGTCAAAAAGACAAAAGTTAACAAATGCTGGCAAGGATGTGGAGTAGAAGTAACTTGTACACTGTTGGTGGGAATGTAAATTAGTATAGTCACTAGGGAATAAAGTATGGCAATTTCTCAAAAACTAAAAATAGAACTACCATACAATTTAGCAATCCTACTTCTGGGTATTTATCCATAGGAAAGGAAATCAGTATATCAAAGGGATATCTGCTCCCCCATGTTTATTGCAGCACTTTTCATAATAGCCAAGACATGGAATCAGCCTAAGTGTTCATCAACAAATGAATGGAAATATGGTATATATACATAACAGATTTAGCCATGAAAAAGAGTAAAGAATAGACTCTTGTCATTTGCAGCAACATGGATGGTACTGGGAGTCATTATGTTAAGTGACAGGATCCAGGCACAGAAAGACAAATATCACATGCTCTCACTCATATGTTAGTGCTAAAAAAGTGGATCTCATACAGATAGAAAGTAGAATGGTAGTTACCAGAGCCTGGAAACAGGGGTAGGGGGAAAAAGAGAGGTTGGTTAATGGGTGCAATCATATGGTTAGATAGAAGCAATATGATCTAGTGTTTGATAGCACAGTATGGTGATTATAGTTAACAATAATATATAGCATATTTTAAAATATCTAGAAAAGATTTAAATTTTTCCAACACAAAGAAATGATCACTGTTTGCGGTGATGGATATCCTAAATACCCTGATTTAATTATTATACGTTGTACGCAAGTATCAAAATATCACATGTATCCCATAAATATACAATGATTATGTATCAATAAAAATAAATCATTTTTTTTTTGGCTGGGCACGGTGGCTCATGCCTGTAATCCGAGCACTTTGGGAGGCTGAGTCAGGCAGATCACAAGGTCAAGAGTTTGAGAACAGCCTGGCCAACATGATGAAACCCCGTCTCTACTAAAAATACAAAAATTAGCCAGGCGTGGTGGTGCGTGCCTGTAATCCCAGCTACTTGGGAGGCTGAGACAGGAGAATTGGTTGAACCTGGGAGGCGGATGTTGCAGTGATTGCGCCGTTGCACTCCAGCTCTGGGCAACAGAGCGAGACTCTATCTCTGAAAAAAAAAATCAATTAAAAAAAATCTCACTGACAACATGTAAGGAGAGATCTGAGGAAGTATAGGTGAAAGCAATTAGGATATCTGAGGGAAAGCGTGTTCTAGGGAGATGGAGAAACAAATGCAAAGGTCTTTAGGTGGAGATGTGTTTCTTGAGTCCAAGGAAAATCCAGGAAGCTACTATGGCCAGAATGGAGTGAGCAAGGTGGAGGGTATTAGAGATAAAATCATCAAGGTACTGGGGGAAACAGATTTGAACGTATTAAAGAAACTTTGTAAGTTCTAGACAGGGGAGTGACTTTACTAACTTACATTTTAAAAGAATCATTCTCAATGATTTGTTGGAAATAAATGAGAAAGCATAAGGGAAGAAACAGGAAGATTAGTTAATAAACTATTGTAATAATCCCAGCAAGAGATGGCATAGCTTGGACAAGAGTGGTACCTGGGGAGGTGGTAAAAAGTTGTTGGATTCTGAACATATGTTTAAAATAGAACTTACTATATTTGTCAGTTGATCAGAGAAGGGGTACAAGAAAAGGAGCAGAGTCGAAATGACCCCCAAGTTTTGCAACCTGAGCCAAAAACGATTGCCAATTATAGCATGATTGTTCAATTGTAGGAATCATCAGTCATGAGAGAAAAATTGATGTTGTGAGAGGCAGATGGAGAATTGCTGGGGTAGATGAAAGGAGTGGAAAAGCTTAGCAAGCACAGACTATTCATCCATGAAAACAGAAGGATAGGGCAACCATTCAGTGACAGCTGTGGGTAGGTGGTTGGGAATGCATTTCTGGTTACCCTGTTATCTTAGTCAAATGGGAAGCAAGGCCATTACTCCAAGGTGATAATTGGGGAGGAGATAATAGAAGTTTGAAGAGAGTAGAAAAGGTGTGAAGTGGTCAACTACAAGTAAGAGGATGAAAGGATTTGGGAAATATTGCCTTACAAAACCAATGGCTTACTGGCTTGCTTAAGATCACAAATGTATTCAGCAAAATTGTGTAATTTTCTCTAGACATATTTATTTATTATTTTTATTTGAATATATTCATGGGGCACAACTGCACTTTTGCTATATTGATATATTGCACTGTGGTAAGGTAAGGGCCTTTAGTGCATCTGGAGCAACCCACATTGAACCCAACAAGCAACTTCCCATCATCCACCTCCCTTGCACTCCCCCACACACCTCAAGTTTCTACTGTCCATCATTCTATGCTCTGTTTCCATGTTTACACATTATTTAACTCCCACTTATAAGCGAGAACATGTGGTATTGTCTTTCTGAGTTGTTTCATTTAAGATAATGTCCTCCAATTCTATCCATGTTGCTGCAAATGACAGGATTTCATTCTTTTTATGGTGAAATAGTAGGCCATTGTGCATATACACCATATTTTCTTTATCCAATACTCCACTGATGGACACTGAGGTTGACTACATATGTTGACTATTGTGAATAGTGCTTTGATAAGCATATGGCTGCAAGTATCTTTTTGATACACTGCTGTATCTTCCTTTGGGTAGCTACTTAGTAGTGAGATTGCTGGATCATATGGTAGTTCTGTATTTAGTTCTTTGAGAAATCACTATACTTTTTTCCATAGAGGTTGTACAAATTTCATTCCCACCAACAGTGTATAAGTGTTCCTTTTTCTCTGCATCCTCTACAATGTGTTGTTTTTTTTTTTTTGTCTTTTTAGTAATATCTATTCTGATTAGTGTAAGATAAAATCTCATTCTGGCTTTAATTTGCATTTCTCTGATGATTAATAATGTTGAACATTTTAAAATGTGCTTGTTGGCCATTTGTTTCTTTTGAAAAATGTCTATTCATGTCCTTAACCCCCTTTTTAAAGATTATTTCGAGTTTTGTTGTTGTTGCATTGTTTGAGTTCCTCATAAATTTTGGATATTAGTCTGCTGTCAGATGTATAGTTTGCAAATATTTTCTTCCATTCCACAGGTTGCCTATTCACTCTGCTGATTATTTCTTTTTCTGTGCAGAAGCTGTTTAGTTTAACATAGTCCCATTTGTCTCTTTTTGTTTTTTGTTACTTGTGCTTTTGAGGTCTTGGTCATGAATTCTTTGCAAAGACCAATGTCTAGAAAACCTTTCTCTAGGTTTTCTTCCAGTATTATTATAATTTCAAGACTTACATTCAAGTCTTTAATCCATCTTGAGTTGATTTTTGTATATAATGACATAGGGGTCCAGTTTCATTCTCATGCTTATGACAATCCACTTTTACCAGCACCATTTACTGAAAAGAGTGTTATTTTCCCAGTGTATATTCTTGTTGACTTTTCAAAAATCAGTTAGCTGTAAGTATGTGGCTTTATTTCTGGGTTTTCATCTGTTCCATTGATCAGTGTGTCTATTCTTAATACTAGTACCATGCTGTTTTGGTTATTATAGCCTGGTAGTATAATTTGAAGTCAGGGAATGTGATGCCTACAGCTTTATTCTTTTTTGCTTATAATTGCATTGGCTATTCATGCTCAATTTTGGTGCCACATGAACATTAGAATTGTTTTTCCTAATTCTGTGAAAAATGACATTGGTATTTGGCTAGGGATGGCATTGAACCTCTATATTCCATACTTTGGGCAGTATGGCCACTTTAATGATATTAATTCTTTCAATCCATGAGCATGTTTATTAGACTGTTCTTACATTGATATAAAGAAATACCTGAGACTGGGTGGACCCCCAGTCTTTCTTATGCATCCTCTGAAAACTAGGCAGAGGCTGCCAAGAATTTACCACTCTTGCATTCAGTGTACCTGCAGGCTTAACACCACGTAGAAGCTCCCAAGGCTTACAGCTTGCATTCTCCAGAGCAACAGCCCAAGCTGCATCTGGGCCCCCTTTAGTCACAGCTGGAGCTAGAGTGGCCAGGATGTGGGAGGCTGTGTCCCAAGGCTGTGCAGGTCAGTGGGGCCCTGTGCCTGGTCCATGAAACCATTCTTCCCTCCTAGGCCTCTGGGCCTGTGATGGGAGGGACTGCCACAAGGTCTATAAAATGCCTTTGAGGCCTTTTCTCCATTGTCTTTAATAGTAGCACTTGGCTCCCTTTTAGTTATGCAAATATCTCTAGCTAGCAGCTGCTCCAGAGCCTGCTTGAATTCCTCTCCCAAAACAGCTTTTTCTTCCTCTGCCACATGGCTAGGCTGAAAATTTTCCAAACTTTTATGCTCTGCTTCCTGTTTAAATATAAATTTCAACTTTAAGTCATTTATTTGCTCCCACATCTGAGACTGTTAAAAGCAGCTAGGCCACATCTTGAATGCTTTGCTTCTTAGATACTTATTTTCCCAGATACTCTAAATCATCAACATGAAATTCAAACTTCCAACACAGCCAAGTTTTTTGCTAAGGAATAACACACATTACCATTGCTCCAGTTCGCAATAAGTTCCGCATCACCATCTGGGACCTTGTCAGCCTATACTTTACTGTCCATATCACTATCAGCATTTTGGTCACAACTACTTAACCAGTCTCTAAGAAGTTCCAAACTTTTCCTCGTCTTTCTGTCTTCTTCTGAGCCCTCCAAACTCTTCCAACATTTGCCCATTACCCAGTTTCAAAGCCATTTCCACATTTTCAGGTGTCTTTATAGCAATGCCCTTTCCTTGGTATCAATTTTCTGTTTTAGGCTGTTCTTACATTACTATAAAGTAATACCTGACACTGGGTAGTTTTTAAAAGAAAGAGGTTTAATTGACTCATGGTTCTACAGGATTTATAGGGAGCCTGGTGCTGGCATCTGCTTGGCTTCTAGGGAGGCCTCAGGAAGCTTAAAATCATGGTGGAAATTGAAGGGGAAGCAGGCACATCACATGGCCAGAGCAAAATCAACAGAGAGAGTGAGGTGGGATGTGCCATACACTTTTAAAAGAACAGATCTCATGAGAACTCACTATCACAAAGATAGCACCAAGCCATGAGGGATTCTGTCCCATGATCCAAACACCTTCCACCAGGCCCCACCTCCAGCATTGGGGATTACAATTCAACATGAGATTTGGTTTGGGACAAATATTCAAACTATATTAGCATGGGATGTTTTTCCATTTCTATCATCTACAATTTGTTTTATCAGTATTTTGTACTTTTCCTTGTAGAGCTCTTTCACCTCCTTGGTTAAATTTACTCCTAGGTATTTTGGTTAAATACACTGCTAGGTAAATGGGATTGCCTTCTTGATATGTTCCTCAACTATATCATTATTGGTATGTGAAAATGCTACTGATTTTTGCAAGTTGATTTTGCATCTTGAAGTTTTACTTAATTCATTTATCAAATCTAAGAGTTTTCTGGTGGAGTTGTTAGGGTTTTCTGGATATAAGATCATATCATCAGAAAACAGGGATAATTTGACTTTGTCTTTTCCAATTTTGATGTTTTTCTTTTTTTCTCTTGCCTGATTGCTCTGGCAAGAACTTCCAGTACTATGGGAAGTAAGAGTGGTAAAAGTGGGCATCCTTGTCTTGTTCCAGTTCTTAGAGGGAATGCTTTCAATTTTTTCCCCACTGAATGTGATGTTTGTGGGGGATTTGTCATGTATGGCCTTTATTATGTTGAGGTATGTTCCTTCTATGTTGAGGATTTTTATCATGAAGCGATCCTGAATTTTATCAAAGGGTTTTTCTGCATCTATTTTAAGATGATCATATGTTTTTTGTCTTTAATTATGTTTATGCGATGTACCACATTTATTGATTTGCATATGGTGAACCATCCTTGCATCCCTGTGATAAATCCCAATTGATCTTAGGATTACATCTTTTTGATGTGCTGTTGGACTCAATTTGGTAGGATTTTGTTGAGGAATTTTGCATCTGTGTTCATCAGGGATATTTGTCTGTAGTTTTCTTTTTATGTTGTGCCCTTGTCTGGTTTTTGTATCAGGGTATACTAGTCTCAGAGAATGAGTTAGGGAGTATTCTCTCCTCCTCTATTTTTGAAATAGTTTTGGGAGAATAGGTATGTATGTTTGGTAGAATTTGGCTGTAAATCCATCTGGTCCTGGGCTCTTTTTTTGTTGGGAGATTTTTAAAAAATTACTGATTCAATCTTGCTACTCATTATTCATCTGTTCAGGACTTCCATTTCTTCCTGGTTCTATTTTGGGAGGTTATATGTCCAGAAATTTATTCATCTCTTCTAGGTTTTTCTAGGCACATTTAAATGCTTAGTTGGGAATTTTGCTGGGTGATTTTGGTGAAGAGAAAAAAGATGAGAGAAAGTCAAGGGTGTCAAAATTGTGCACAAGGGAATGATTATAGTTATTCATCTTGGCATGTATGCCCATGTAAAGGAAATGATGTCATGGAGGGAGTGAGAGATATTGAAAAGCTTGTGTGATGGATAGATTTTTAGATATAGTTTGGCAAGTTTGCACAAAAGAAATACTGGAGATGAGGCACTTGAGTCAGAAAGACAAGAGATGCTGGCAAGATTAGAGGATGCTTAAAATTGATATTAAGTTGATGTTATTGATAATGACAAGATATAGGGAATGACCATGGGATTGGGAAGAATTACTGGAGATGAGGCACTTAGAATAAGCTGGAGAAACAAGAGATGCTGGTAAGATAAAGAGGATGTTTAAAATTGATATGAGTGCATTGTTATTGGTAATGGCAAGGTCTAGGGAACGACCATGGGATTGGTTGGCTGAGAAAATGGAAGAGATTAAGTCATGGAACTGAGAGTCCAGTATTGAAAGGAACATCTTCAGGCATATTAAAATCAGGAAGAACTGTGACAGGAGTTGTTTAGAGAGAGTATCGGTAAACCAGGGGCTAAAACCAACAAGGAATAAAGAAGCTTAATCCATCTTGAGATCTCTAGATGAAAAGGAGGAGGGAGTGATAATATAATTTGATGGCGTTGCCATCAAAGCTGGAGAGGAGAAAGAGGGAGTTATGTAGGTATAAGGGCTAAAGATCTGGAAGTGGCAATAGGAAACATGGACTTCAGATGGCCTGCCTATAGACAGTGTTATCAGTGGTATGGCGGCCTTGAGTTTTCTAAAATTTTCTAAGTTAAATCACTTGAAAGGGCTGTAGGAAAGGCAGCATCTTTTGGAAAGAGTCAGGTGTCAGTGAAAGCAAAAAATTTCAAAGAAGACATTATGTATATAGAGGTTTCTGATGACCTCAGAAGCATTTCAGAATATATTTTGTGCCTCAGAATTTTTGTTTACATTTTGATGATCATGATACTGTAGATAAGCTTAAATGGCATTTAATAGAGAACTCTGAACAGCCAAGTTTACTATGTTATTATTTTGACAGTTCTGTCTCCTTATCACGTAAATAACATTATAAACATAAGACATATCTCTGCACATGACAGTGGGAATGGTCTTTGACTATTCTAGAAGTATGTTCAGACATTTCCCCCAGAGCATCAATATGCTGGGAACCATGTGTCTTTTCCCCTGGACTAGGGCCTCAAGCCAAGAAGAAGAGCAACTTTCAATTTTCTGTGCTTGTTTGCTTTCTGCCCTGAATACACAAAAGACACATTTGAGCAAACTTTTGGGTTAAGTTTTCAGGGCATCCTTCCATTTCTCACTACAAAGGATTTAAGAGCCAATTGTTCCTGGGCCCCAGGAGTTTGTTCTTATTATTTAAATGTGGGTGTCTTCACAGCAAAACAACCTCAAAAATTCAACCCAAGCCCCTCAACCCACCACCATTTGCTTAATGAAGCAAAACACCATAATAGACTTAATGATGTGGATTTATCTCTTAACTGTTGTTTTGAGATCACAACAAATCATTAAAATCATTAACTCTTCTAGTTAAATTAGAGAACAGATTTCCTAGAGTGCATAGCCTATGTGTTTTTTTCTGTAACATCCTCACCCCTGTTCCTTTATTACTTATGCTTCTCAGATTTCTTCCATGCAGAATAAACTAGCTTAATATATTCCAAGTCACACTTCAAAATAGCTTTGTTACCTCCCTCCATGCTTATTCCTCCCGTGTTCCCCAGAGCCGCTTCCCTAAGAAATGTAGGCAGCAGAGAGCTAAGCTAAGGGGTTTGAATCAGTGCTGACTTTAGGAGCCTACAACAAACTATAAACAGCCAGTGGAGTTTTGGTTCTCCCGGGGCTCCTGTGTAAGCAGAAGCCCTCATCACTACATCTGGAAAAGGAGAAGCATATGTCAGCAGATGCCACTCTCGGAATGAAGACAAAGTAGAGTTTAGATTCAGATTCACTCTGTTTCTTTTCTTAGGTTTGTCACTTAATGCCTCCCCAGCCCATTCAGTCCTACAAAAGTGGAGGTAAGAAAGCATGTCTTCTATTTCTGGCCCGGACAGTGTGGAGGGCAGTAAGAAAGTGGATCATGTTGATGCAGGTTATCCCCAAAACTGGAGCTTAGTCCAGGAGAGTTCTTGGCTTTCCTCAGGAAAGAATTCAAGAGTGGGCTGGCAGTGAAAGACAGCAAGATTATTTGAGCAGCAATGTGTAGCAAAATGGCTGCTCAATAGACAGAACAGGGCTATCCCACAGGCAAAGTAGCACTTGTGGATTGTTGGCTAACTACATTTATACCTGCTTCGAATTATATGCTAACTAAGGGGTGGGTTACTTACAAATTTTCTAGAAAAGGGTCAGGGAGTTCCCGACCCTATAAGATAACTTCCAGGTCATTGCTATGGCATTTTTAAACCATCATGGTGCTGGTGGGAGTGTCTTATGCAAATGTATTATAATTCCAAGTCTTGACTGTTTTTTTTTTTTTTTTTTTTTTTTGAGACGGAGTCTCTCTCTGTCGCCCAGGCTGGAGTGCAGTGGCGGGATCTCGGCTCACTGCAAGCTCCGCCTCCCGGGTTCACGCCATTCTCCTGCCTCAGCCTCCCAAGTAGCTGGGACTACAGGCGCCCGCCACTACGCCCGGCTAATTTTTTGTATTTTTAGTAGAGACGGGGTTTCACCGTTTTAGCCGGGATGGTCTCGATCTCCTGACCTCGTGATCCGCCAGCCTCGGCCTCCCAAAGTGCTGGGATTACAGGCGTGAGCCACCGCGCCCGGCCGTCTTGACTGTTTTTGATTGGTTTCTTTGCTATATCCTGTTTTGATTATCAGAGTCTTGACTGGTGTGCAGAAAACAAGGCCTGATGATCTCTTACCTCAATGTGGGCATTGAAGAAGCGGATGGAGCCTCTCAGACCACTATATATAGGAGAAATTCATACCCATTCTTTTAGAAGATTCTTATGGAAATAGAACAATGTGGTACTCAAATAACTTGGAGATGACCATTTATTCATCTTTCCTCTAGGTAGGAAGAAAGGAGGCATATGTACCATGCAGTAAAGAGCTGGTTTAATACATCCAGTGCTTGATAAAGATGGATAATTAAAAGGGGTTTAGGTAGACTGGTTAAACTGTACTAGGTGAGATGATTCAAGCTTATCTCACACTAACTGCTGAACTAAGTTACTGTTAATCAGTAACATATCTCAGTGTTGCTCAGGTACCAGGAGATGTCCAATTAATGTTGGTTGAATTAAAGACTATAGATAACAATCTCTTTTGGGGGTCTAGAGTTTTCTAACTTAAACTTACTTTACAAGGAAGTTAATTTTTTTTTTAATTTGGTCACCAGCATGCCGCTGTGTAGTTGAAGCCTGTAGGGCTCTTACAAAGCTGGCTGGTGCAACTTTCTCGTAATTCAGTAGTTTGAATTCAAATGCCAAACATATGTTGGAAATCTAAGTTCTATGACTTAATCTCAGTCATGTATATTTAAAAGATTAGTTAATTGCTTTTGATAGGGAGGCCCTGCTTGGGGTGTCTGGCCATTCTTGATGTACCTGGGGAGCCCAACTCTGAATTCCTGGAACGCTTTCAGGATAATTAGTTTTTTCAACCTATGCTTGATAAGGATTGTAAATTAAAAGGGGTGGTTAAAAAGAAAAAAAGAAAATGGTGCACTGGAGTAGAAACCCTCAACCTGCTTCTGTGGTTGGAAGTTCTACCTATTTCTTCTCCATTAGATTTCCAGAAGAGCTGGAGTGGCCATGAAAGCTCTCTTATGTTTTAATTATATTCTGTAAGTCCAAGTGTGTGTGTAAAATCTACTTGTCTTCAAATAGAAGAACCTGCTCTAGGCTGTATCTTTGGTACTAGAAAATTAGTCTTTTATCAGTCTGATTCAAGGGCTAAATGAAGAACTACAGAACATAAAATCCATGACCTTTTCTAGATAGGCAAACTCAAGAGGATGAAAGACTGTGAGCTGGGCAAAAGGAATGCATATCTGCTCTAAGTTGCTGCTTATAGGAGAGAAAAATGTAAGGTGGATGGAAAGAAAAGAGATTTCCCACACTATGGCAGTTCTATGCTTAGCCTCAGAGAGTGATGTCTGGGTTCAATACATACTTATGAGTTCATTTCTCTGGGCAACCTGGGAGCTCTTGCTTCAGTCTCATCTCCACTGTGGGCAAGTATTATACAACGTGTCCCTGCAACCTCACTCCCAGACCTCAGACTGCCTTGTCTATGCTTTTTTTCAGTCCAGTGTCCTGTGGGAAAAGGAATGGAGGGACCGAGCAGCCATCGCCAAGGGTCTGAGCTAAGAATGACTGTTGTATGTGGCTGCTCCAAGCCTGCGTCCCCACCCACAATCCTATTCCAATCCTTGGTCATTTTCTTAGTGAATCTGGGTTGTCTCTGTAGCCTTCACCTCTGCTGACTCTGAAGGAGCCATGAGTGGCAGCTGGTGGGCTCTGTTTTATGGCCCAGTTGTTTACACAGGAGGCTCTCACACAACCCAAGTGTGTTGCTCTCTGGGAGCCAGAGCAGGGATCCTGCAGCAGCTGCTGATGAACTGTGATAAAGCAAAACATCAGAGCAAGGGTAAGGGTGGTATATATGATGCACTGACAAAATAGTCCTTGCTTCCTTTTCCTGCCAATTCTGTGAACTATTATGACCTACATTTTATGATTCAGGAAGATAAGGTAAATATAGTCTAAATGACTTGTAGAAGGTCATAGAGCTAGTAAAAGGCAGGGTGGAATTTAACCCCAAATTCCCCTAATTCCAACTGTAGGACTTTGCTGCCACAAGATATGGCCTGGGTAAGTCTGCTAAAGTAAAGATCATACCATACAGAACGCTTGTCTAAAGACAAGCTGGACAAGTCATCGTACCAACTCCTCTGGACACACAAACACATACACACACACATACACCCTGTTCTGATTTTATTTCTGTCTTTCCTTCCTGAAGAAATGACCTAACCACCCAGGCTCACCTTTACATATTCATTGCCATTCTGTGGCTCTTCTGCCTTTAGGAAGTGTGGGGCACCAGGGACTCCTGTAATGACATGGACCTGACCGAGGGCTTGTGCAGCTGCCAGTTATTACTTTGGCTATTACACTTTTCCCTGCCTTTGTTGTTTCTTTGTTTGTTTGGGGCAACAAAAACAAGACAGGCAATCAGACATGGCCCAGATTCTCAAATGTGCATTCTTGTCACAGCTGGGGTCTTTTCTGCCTCCATTCTAAGTCCATCTTGCATTGAGGCAACATGTTTATGCTTAGCGTAGTGCTTGGCATGTTGTAAGAGCTTATTAAATGCTTCGATCAGAAGAGTCATTTTCAAAATGTTACTTTTACTATATTACTCTCTTGATAAACTTTTAATGGCTCCCTGTGTCCTGCTCCGAGGTCACGCACATGGTTCCCACTCTATTCCTTCACAAACCCATGCCAGATGCGACACCTTCACTGCTACCCCTCCTCTTTTTCTATGAGAGTCCTCTGGCTGGAATCCCTCCTGCTCCTCCCTCAAGACTAGAAGTTAAAGTTCCAACTCCCCCTGGCAGCCTTCCTTCACCATTCCAACCCTCTGGGCTTTTCCCCTGAGCTAAACTCCTAGACATTTACTGTCTGAACAACTCCAGGTACTTAACCACATGCTATCTTATTTTGCTACTTAATATTAATAGTTTCATGAATAATGTCTTAAAAATTGTGAAACCATCAAGAACCAGAACATAGCGTAAATGCCTTCTGTAGTACTCAGACTGCTAGCCCGGTGTTATAACTATAATAAGAATTTTTAAATATTTTAATTAATTTAAATTAAAATTCTATTCTAGTCAGAGCTTGCACAGTATATCATTATCAATCTTGAACGCGTGTACCCCATTTAGAGAAAAAATATTTCTCATAAACACTCACTGTTTATTTTTATTATGTCACTTAAGCATATAAACATAAAACTAAGTATAATTTCCTAATAAAAGCTTCAGGTCCTTAAACCACTATAAATCGCAAATGAATTTATAAAATTAAATGTAAAAATAGTATAAACACTGTAAAATTGGAATTAATCGTTTACATTTATTGTGATGTATGGTGTTTGCCAAAGCAAACCACATCACAGATATGGGAGTGCTGTGATCCCAGTTCTTTTGAGATTCTAAGCTTGGCACGATTCATTTCTTACACCACTTTCTTCTGTTCAGTATACAACACAGCAAAACCTTCATTCCTTCAATGTGGTATTAGGTCAATGGAATCCTATTTGGCAAAACGACATCATTACAATTAAGACTGTTCTTTTCTTACCCTGAGACAGTCACGATGTGCTGCAATCACTTGGCAGTGTTTGTGTGTATGTGTAGCATCTGGAAGATCCAGACATGCTCATGGTAATTTTTTAGAATTAAACCAATCTAAATTAAAATATTATTTAAGAAAACTTTTGGACCATCAAAAATCTATGTGTAGATCCCTGGAAATCTCTTGAGTAACACTGTCAACACACTAATGGGAGAATTATTTAAAGAAGAAAAAAATAGAATTGTTCTCCCACTTTTTATGAGACTATCTGTGGGAGAAGCATCATCTTATTTTTTTCTATTATTAAATCTATGCTTTTAAAATTATTACTAAAATCTGGTTTTTTCTTACAAGAGAGCAACAAACTTATTGTAAAAAGTTTATTAACTAAGGAAAGAAACTAAGGTCCCCAGAATTCCACCTTCCAGAGAAAACCATTGATGGCCCATATAATAGTACTTCATCTCCTTCTATTGCTACTAATAAGAACATCAGCAACTGACAGATCATGATTACCATATGCCAGGAAATGTTCAAAGCATTTAATATACATTAATTCATTTACTCTACACAACAACCTTATTGTGTAGGTACTACTAGTATTCCTATTTTACACATAATGAATTGAAAGCTAAAAATTTAAGCCTTAAGTAACTTTCAAACACACAGTCAGTAGGTTATAGAGTAGGATTCTAATTGAGGTAAAATATAGCAAAAATATATAAATAAAACAAAGGATATTGAATATGGGATCACATTGAATGCAGAGTTTGGAGTTCTGCTTATTTCTCTTAAAAATATTGTAAACATATTTTTTGGTTTGGTAACCAATAATGTTTTTAAGTATCAGATGGGTATATTCCATTATAAAAATACATCACATTATTCAACCAATACTCCATTGACTGTCTTTTAAGTAGTTTTCAATCTTTAACTGTTATAAACAGTACAAGGATGATTATTCTTGGACGTAAATCTTTGAGAACATCCTTACTTATGTAAACATTTTTATTTCTTACCTGTTACTAAACAATCTGAGAAGAAAAGTACACAGAAATTGCAGCATGTTCAGTCTAACATTGTTGTAACTGTTGATTTTATTCACTGGATAAGTACTTAGTTTCACACAATGTTCAATTATATGTATTTGTTTAGCATTCAATCAAATTTTGAGCTTTCCTCAATGCTAATAGACGTTTTTCAACTGTAAGTACACATGAGAATGAGCTAGTATAAAACATACAGTAACATTTTAAAATCTGTGTCCTAAATTTTGGAAATTAAAAGAGCCTCAATTCAGTTCTAAACCAGAAATTGTTGTTCCCCATGGGTAGATAGCACTTTATTAAGTCCTCCTTTAAACCACATTTTAGCTGTTTATTTGGAGTGGGAAGGAATGGGGAATTTTTAGACTAACCACCTATCTTCATGCTTATATAAACCTAACTCTAAATCTTAGTCTTTGGACATTTTAATTTATTTTATCAAAACATAGACATAATTTAAAGGTTTTTTGAGGGCTGGGGTCTTCTCACCATCCATCCTGTTCTGCTTTCCAGAGGCAACAACTTCTAACCTGTCTTTTTGGTTTTTTTTTTTTTTAGGGTTTTCTTTTTATTTTCTTCTCCTCCGTTTCCTCTTTCTTTTCCCCATCCCCTCTCCTCTTCTCTCTTCTCCCCTTCCTGGTTTTAGGGTAGAGAGAATATAGCATTCTTAGAATGCCTCCTATTCTTCCATCTTACCAGTATAGTCATATCACAGTGACTAATTACCTGATTTTTCCCCTTCATTTGCTTGTTTTTCCGTGAAATTTTGACTATGTCTTTGAATAACCTCCACTAGCCTCTGAATACAATTTTCTGCCACTAAATGTGTGAGATGATCTATAAGTTCCTTCACTGTTATTTGTCTCCTGGAAATATCCCTTCTGGGTCTCTCTGGACTCCTGCTGTAATCTGGATTATTTAGTCGCCAAGCCTGCTCTGCACCAGCCATCCTGGAAATTCTGTTCACTTTCTTCCTGGGACTTTCCTTCACCTCTACGCTATGCGAAAGTCTCTATTTCCTAGCTTCCATGTATCCTTCTTTCCCAGTTTCCTTTTCTGCTTTCAAAGAGCCCATCTTCTCGAATGTTCCTGAGAGAAAGGATGCATGAGAAACACATTTTTAAGACCCTGCATGTTTGCAAATGTCTTTATTCTACCTTCACACTTGATCTCTCATTTAGCTACATTGAGCGTTTTGAGTGGAGAGTCATTATCCCTCCGAATTTTGAAAGTGCTGCTCAGTATCTTCTGACTTACATTAAAATTCAGAAGTCTGATGTCATTCAGGTCCTGAATCCTTTGAATATAATTTTTTTCTCCATCGCTTCAAGTTTATAGGGTCTTTTTTTCGGTAATGTAAAATGTCATGATGCTACTGTGACTCTGTGATATCCTTTTTCATTCATTGGTCTTAATATATTTTTCAATATAAATAAAAACTGCTTGAATTCTGGAATCAATTATATTATTTATTTATTCCCTCTGATTTCCTTTGTTTTCTAGAGTTCCCTATTTACTTACCTCATTTAAAAAAAATTTATCACTCCCATAGACAATATTTTTATCTTTTTGTCCTACTTTCTTCTTCTTCTTTTTTTTTTTTTTGAGACGGGGTTCTTGCTCTGTCATCAGGCTGGAGTGCAGTGGCGCGATCTTGGCTCACTGCAACTTCTGCCCACGAGTTCAAGCGATTCTCCTGCCTCAGCCTCCCAAGTAGCTGGGATTACAGGCATGAGCCACCATGCCCAGCTAATTTTTGTATTTTTAGTAGAGACGGGGTTTCACCATGTTGGCCAGGATGGTCTCGATCTTTTGACCTTGTGATCTACCCACCTCGGCCTCCCAAGGTGCTGGGATTACAGGCGTGAGCCATCACACCCAGCCTGTCCTACTTTCTTATATGTTGTCTGAACTCTATCCTCCAATCCTTCTATTTAAGTGTTTTTATTTTAAATTAACTATTGTGTTGTTAATATCCAGGAGCCTTTCTTGTTCTAGGATTCTTCTCTGTCCTATTCTTTTTCTTCCTCTTCCTCCTCTTTCTTTTTCTCCCTCCCCACCCTCCTTCCTTCTTTTTCTTTACTATTGCATCTGTTCCAGTGTCATGGAAGCAATATCTTCCTTTATCTCTCTGGGAATATTAATCATAACTTATTTTAACATTTTCTTCTGTTTCCTGATTTCTCTCTCTTTCTACTGAGTTCCTTATTTCCTGCTTATTTGGTCATGCCTTTCATGATAGATGACACTTAGCCATCTTTTCCTACTTATGACTGAAGCATTAAAAAGCTTATTTAAAAATGATAGGTTTAAAAGTAACTGTCAAAAAACTTCATGCACACTAGTGATAGGCTCTACTATAGGGTATCCTATATTAAGGAACCTCAAATATTAGCATCTAGAGGTCTTTATTCCAAGTCTGCAGATTTACTTAAAAGAAAGGTCTTCTGATCTGTCGTGGATGAAGAAGAAATCGTTGATTGGCTGGGTAGGGTCAGGATGGGGACCTAGCATACAAACACCATTTCAGTGAATTTCCCTGATTTATATCCCACACCTTATTCTAGTTCATTTTATCTGTTGTTTACCATTCTGCATTTTTCTGGGTTTCTGTTGGGTGAGGTGGCTTGCCTCTCATTGGTACCCCTGTCTCCTCTGTGTAATTGAGTTTCAAATTTATTACTACTTTCATTTACTTTTCTTTTTCACATATTCTGGTTGTAAATTGCAGGTGTCCTGCATTTACTGAATGCAGAATTTATGTGTCTGCTTCTTGTTTTTTTTTGTGTGTGTGTTGACATCTGACATCTTTATCCATTTAAATCTAAAATGTGCCCCTACTTTTTAACGTTTTTGCAAAGGGAAGAAAGAAATCTATTAAGAAGACATTTCTAAGTCAGGCCTAGTGGTCCATGACACTAGACCTTAGAAAGAATCTAGGCAGAGAATAGAGTGATTAATGACTTCATGTGATAACTTTTTTCTCTCTGTGCCTTTGCTCTGTACCCCATCATTATGTATATGACTTTTACCTGTATTTAAAATCTCTGATAAAATGCCATCTCCTCCATGAAGCCAACCCTGATAATTATAACTTATAATAATCTCTCCATTCTCTTAACTATTAATAGATGGCATTTAATCTATCATTTTCTTATGGTGGTTATTCATTTTATATCCAGGCTTGTCATTCTGTGTGCATGTCTCCAGCAGGAACATTTTCTCACTAAATTATTAGTCCTTCTTTCTTGAGGATTTGATTAACATCTTACTCATCTTTGAATAGCTCCTAACTCCTAGTATATGCTGGAAAAGAGCATGTACTCAAAAATGTTGAACAAATATGTGAATAGATATAGGCTATAACAATTCTTGCTCCTGGAAAAAGTAGCCCATTTTAAGGTCCCCTATTTTACAGTATCACAAATATCCTCTGAAGTTCTGATCTGGAGTTGTTACTGTCTTAGGAATAATTACATCAAGGAGCTGGGCAGCTTCTGCAAAGGTGCTGTAGGCGAAATGTGCCTTTATTGTCTTCTTGCTTGACTCTCTTCCTCCACTATTCTCAGTGATCAAGTACCTAGAACCCCATTGGGAGGTCCAGCTGAATAATGAGAATAAGTATAATACGTAAGTTGAGCAGACCTAGGTTTGAATGTTGCCTCCATAACTTTTGGGCTGGACAATGTTGCCGAATTAGCAAATCTTTCTTCACCTAAACATCCTCTTGTGTAAAATGGAGAAAATATTCTCCACAAGGATGTCATGAAGGTAAAATAAAAAGCATATGGAACGTCCTTAGAAAAGAAAAGACACAGAATGTATTGTCTTTGTATTTCCTCTTTCTTAAAACAGTCATTGCATTTTTCCAGGAACATGGGCATTTAAAAAATACGTACAGGAAAAGAGCAATGCTTACCTCAAAAGGAAACTACTCTGGTGAGAGGAGTTTAATAATTTTTCATCACGTTTGTGTCAAGGGCTTTTGGAAGCTTTGTAAAACATTCCATGTTAAAGCACCCAAAACTATGGAACCATTTTCCATGACTCCAATCCTCAAGGGAGAAAATATTTAGGGAAATATTGTTCAGAGAGTTGAAGTAAGGCAAAACAATAAAAAACAAAGCATATAATCAGAAAAAAAATTTGTCCTTTCTTGCTTGGAATTCTTTCAGGAATGTTTGGCATGAACAGGAAAACTTTTGCTTCCTGCCTTTGTTCCACTTTCAAAGTTTCTCCTATCATATAATATAAAAATATGTGTTTTAGGGGCATTTATTCAAAGGGCAGCTCTTCTCTGTTTGTTTTTTTGAAGTTAGTGAGTTTCCAAATGATGGAGGAGGAAAGGAAAACTTTGTATCAGTCAGAACATGGGAGTGTGAGTGCTGGAGTCCTGGAGACCTGCTATTTCAAACACTTCACAGAGTGCTGGAGTGTTTGGGAATGTAGTGTTTGACAAGATACAACTGGCTTCCAATTATCTCTGCCTGGCGGTTTCCCTCCTGTCCTCCAAAATGTTTTCATACAGTTGCCAGTCATGTGTTCTGGTATATATGTTTTTCCCTGCACAAAGGTAAAATTGATTCTTCTTTTTTTTTTTTTTTTTTTTTTTTTTGAGACGGAGTCTCTCTCTGTCACCCAGGCTGGAGTGCAGTGGTGCGATCTCTGCTCACTGCAAGCTCCGCCTCCCGGGTTCACGCCATTTTCCTGCCTCAGCCTCCCGAGTAGACAGGACTACAGGCATGTGCCACCACGCCTGGCTAATTTTTTGTATTTTTAGTAGAGATGGGGTTTCACTGTGTTAGCCAGGATGGTCTCGATCTGCTGACCTCGTGATCTTCCCGCCTTGGCCTCCCAAAGTGCTGGGATTACAGGCGTGAGCCACCGCGCCCGGCCTGATTCTTCTCTGTTCATAAAACTCTTTGTCCGTCTCAGGAAAATCTATCTTGCCAGATCTCTACCAGTTAATGCTAATTACTAATAGATTTATCCACCTTTTTGTCTCAAAGTCAAGACAAGTACACATTTAGATGTGGCAGAAATGAAATGTTACTTCATAGCAAAGTCCATAAAAATTGAGGGAGAAGCCAGAGATTCTTCATTCTAATAATTTACTAGGATGAAAATGTACAAAAGGAAGGATGAAATGTCTTTTGATTCCAGATGCAGCAGAAGAAAAGCCATGTTTATAAATACCTACTATGTGAAAGGTGCAGAGCAGAAACTATTTGATGTAACCTTCCCACTAGTCTTCAGAGATAAATGTTCATACTTTCATTTCCAAAATAAAAAAAAAATACGTCAGCAAGGTGGAAATTTACATAAGATGATAGAACTCATTAGGGATCAATACAGAAACTCAGACTGTTCTTTTCTGACTATACTATGTTTTCTTTTAGAGTAAGTTGGCCCAGAAGATCCACAGAGAATACCCCAAACAAATGTTTCAAGTTAGGTGTGAACCCCAGCTTCCCATTATCCCTGCAGCTGACTGGCTCCTGCTGTCCCTGAGAATGGGCTTCACCTCACCACCCTCTTTCTCCTCTTTCTCGAGAGCTGAGTTGCACCCACAGTTTACTAACACTGTGGGAGGAGTTTTTCCATTTCTTCTTTCTTTCCTCTACCTTCACATGAGAAAAACATATTTTCTCCTGGAGAGAAGAGGTAGCTTTGTCACTCTGGTCCTATTCCAGAGCCACCAGATTGCAGACATGAAAAGCGTGAGCTCCCAAAGATCCCATTTGCTGTGATGCGTCGCTCTTATCCCCACAGCCTCAGAGTGACTGGGAGAGAAAGCCACTGCTCAGGAAGAATCCAGGCAGCCGGAGCCTGTCACTGACTTGATTTAGCACCATGCTGAGGCCTTCTCTGTCTGGGGTCACCCCCACATGGAGCCATTCCTCTTGTCCTTCTTTATAAGCAGAAATGTCAAGGATGGACAGAAGGCATTCTCCATACTGTTCTGCTGGTGGCAAGGTTAGAATTTCTCTTTCTCAACTTTTAGAAAACGTCAAACCCTGATCACATCTGCCAAGCTGGCAGATGTGGTTCTTCCTGGTCCAAGCTGGGCTTCAGTAATGGATGCAGAACATCAACTTATCTTTTCTGGATACCTTGAGCCAGGCGTTGGCACAAGGCAGCATCACCAACAAATAGGCATTTTGGTGCCATTTGTGAAAATTAACTTCCCTAATTAACTTACTCATACAAATGCATTCAGGATGAAGACATTAGGATGATTACCTAGAAAATTACTACCTTGGTAGGGTCCCCTGTGCCCCCTTTTGCCTCTGAAATGAGCCAAGAACAAAATTGCTCTGATGACATTGTCAGATCTCTGAGAGCAAATAACTGATGAATGAAAGAATGATGCCATGTGTTGGCAACTCTAATCCTAATTTTAGCTCATGGACTTTGCTCAGCATGGAGTGGCCAAGAAATGATTTTCTCCATCCAGAAGGGAGCACTGGTGAGCATCAAAATTACTTCTTGGTGCGAATTCAAGCACCTTCTCAAGCACCAGGCTATACAGCAATTATGGCTTAATGAGTTTTACATCAATTAGGACAGCTAGAAGGGTACTCTGGAGGGGACCAGTAGGAGGCCTACATCTCAGAAACAAGAGGTTCTAAAATTCCATTTGTTTACCCAGCCTACAAGTGCAACTTTATTATTTTTTTTATGAGCCTGAATATGTCCATGGAGAGCCTTAGTAATATGAAACATTTTCAGCCCTAGGGAATTTTACTTCCTGTCTTTGAAATTCCCTATGCATAAGTGTTAGTCATTCTTATCAGATCAGAAATTTCTGGAAAATTTTCATTTTTCTGTGGTTTTATTTCATTTTATTATATCATAGGAGTGAGTTACTCTTGAAATAAAATGCATACATTTTCCAAATGTTGTTCTATGTTCTTTGTCTAGTCAGGCATGAAGAGAAGTCAGAAAATTCAGGGTAGGGTTCAAGGTTATGGGTACATGAGGGTAATGGTGTGTGCTTCCTTCAAAAACTGAAGGGAAATTAAAGTATTCCGAGAGTTTGAATGAATGATTTCCAACCCTGCTACACATTAGATTCATCTAGCAAGGTTTTTTTTTGTTTTGTTTTTTTGTTTTTGTTTTTTTTTTTTTTCTTCCAATGCCTGAGTCCCACTTCAGACGAGTTAAGTTGGTA